>NC_000003.12:133251028-133402543 GCF_000001405.40 Homo sapiens
AGTTTTTGACTCATATAGCTTTGCTGGGTAGTCTGGGCTGGTGAACTTTCCTAGGATCTCAGCCAGTCCATGATCAGTCATTCTGTAACCCAAAGGGACATGGAATGAGATTGATAGACAAAGATAAGCATTAGTTTCATTTATTCAACAAATATTTCAATGTCTGTTATATGTGCAAGTATTATATGTGCTATATCCTGGGCATATCCCTTAAAAGTCAATTAAAACAAACAAAATTTTAAACTCTCAAGAAGGATGGCTTTAAAAGATTATCCTTCTCCAAATCAAATTGTTATGGACATTTATTAAGCACTTACTATAAAAGACACTGCAGAGGTTATAATATGTTAAGATAAGGTCTCTAAAGAGTTTCATACAGCCAACCAACAGATATTTATTGTTTCAGTCAGTATAGGCCATCTGCTATAACAACTCAAAGATCACTATGACTTAACATAAGAAAAGTTTGTTTCCCACTCATAGGAAATTTCAAAACAAACATTTCTGGTTGTCTGGGTTTCCTCCAAGATGTAATCAGGGACTCAAGCTTCTCCCACTTAGAATCCCATCATCTTCAATGCCGGCCTTCAAGGTTATCATAGAAAGGGAAGAGATATTGGATAGGTATCCTCCTCTGACTAGAAGTGATACATATAAATTTTTGCTCCTATCCCACTGTCTAGTCACGTGGTCCTATCTAGATGCAAGAGGACAAGGAAATGTTGTCTAGATTTGGGGAGCCACTTCCCAAGAGCAAATCTACACTGTGGGAAGGAAATGTGAATCTTGGATAGTCAACTAGTCATCTCTGTTCTTAGCTCTAAGCTTAAAAAACTCTAGGTGCAAAGAAAACTAATGAAATAAGACAGACTGTCAAGCATTGGATTTTTCTGACGGCCTATGATATGTAGTAAAATAAAGGTAATAGGCATGTTTTTCAGACATAACTAATTCTAATCACTGTTGCTATGAAACTCCTACAGCACTGTTTTATTAATAGTTTCCTCTTATGGAGTTCTGTTGTTACTGTCACCATCGATGTATCTGTTGATGTGGGTGTCCTTGAAATAATGACTGACTGACCAGAACCACCTTAATTTCAAGGTTTGATAGACTCATGGGGGTAAATATTGCTATTCACAGGATTGAAAAGACTGAAAGAGAAAGAAAAACATGATTCATTTCAACTCTCTGTTATGGTGGTATTAAAAGAATTGAAAAATTCTGGGTATGTGAGATGAATGAAAACAGGACTACCATCTAAGGTTATTCAGGTTGTTTGCTGCACAACTGTGGGGGCACCATTCACATTCTAAGCTGTATAAATTGTGTCCTCCAGGTGTTGTGTGGCTAATATGTAGAGAATCTGAATGAAAATTTTAGCAATGGAGTAACTAGGAAAACAATAGCATTTTAATCACAATTCGTGAGCCTGCAACTATACATGCACACTGGAATCTAGCTGATAACTTGCTCTTTAGGTTTTGCTAATTCAAGTTCTGATCAACATTTCTTAAAATAGTATGTAAGAAAGTCTTGTTTCTTAAGCAGATATTTCATGTTTCTGTAGAGAAGAGGCAAGAAAAATCAAGAGGAAGAGAGTTTGAGAGTATAATGAAAAGTAGAGAAACAAAAAAGAAAAGATGAAGGGGTCAAGGAGTTATGACATTTTGAGAACTAAATGAGTAGATTTGGAGACTTCTCTGAACCTCCGAACTTCTGATCACTTATCTGTAAAGTGGGAGGCTTAGACTAGGTGATCTCCATTCTTGCATACAGTGTTCAAAGAAACATAAAACACCATATGTATTTTCCATCTGCAGTTGATTGAATGTGCAGATGTGGAATCTGTGGATATGGAGGGCTGACTGTACTACCCAATTTTATATAAAAGACTTGAGCATTCATAAATTTTGATATCCAAGGGGAATCCTGGAACCAATCCCTTCTAGGTACAGAAGGCCAACTGTATTATGTGTTATAAGTAATCAAGAAACTATTTGAAGTATACAAGAGGATGTGTGTAGGTTACATGCAAATACAATGGCATTTTATTGCAAGGAACTTGAGCATCTGTGGATTTTGTTTTCTTCAGGGGTCCTGGGACCAGTCCCTCAAGTATACCAAGGGTTGACTGTACAGAGAAACCTATTACAGTTGTTGTTTTACTCAAGAAATACCATATAAGACAAGAAGAGTGGTTTGGTGGCAGAAACATTTGTCTGAGATTCAGAAAAGATAGATTCTAATACTGGCTCTCCTACCAACTTGTTGATCATTTCACCTTTCTGGACCTCAGTTTACCCATTTATAAGAAGTCTCAGTTTACTCACCTATATAAAGTGCATCAAGTGATCTGTAAGGTTGTTTCAACTCTTCCTAGTCTCTGATTCTAGAATTCTTAAATGGATGTATGTTTTTGCCCTAAAAAAACAACAAAAATTAGCCCAGAATGTCATCAGATCTGCACACTGGAATCATATAACATGGGAAAAGCCCACCAAAGGCCAAAGAAGAAACATAAATTATGACAGTATGTGGTCTCTTCAAGTTAGTCCATCCCAGTTGTTACTGCTTACTAAATTTATCAAATTCTTTAACTCTTTAGGTATTATTAGATTTGTACAGAAAACAGAAACACATACCACCCTTTCTGATAGGGTTTTTGAATTCTAAATCCATAGGAAGATTTCGTGTTGCCAGTGGTTAATTTAATTTTACCTGCTTTCATTGTTTACCAGGTTTCCCTTGGTTGGCTGACAGCCATCTTCAAAAATGTGTTCTGAGCATCTCTTGGGCATATTGCACTGTTGTAGTCATTATGAATTTTAAAGAAAACAAAAGGAAAAAGATAACATGCCTGATCTCACATAGTTCAAAATAATTCCAACAAATTCGGGAGGTAACTAATTAGATAATTTTAAAGACTAAATTGTCAACCTGGCTGCAGCACTACTGGGGTTCCTAAATATGTCATGTAAAGGAATATATGTCATATTCCTATAAAAGAACATTAAAAAGTATTCAAGCCAGGCACAGTGGGTCACACCTGCAATCCCTGTGCTTTGGGAGGCTAAGGCAGATGGATCCCTTGAGGCCAGGAGTTCAAGACCAACTTGGGCAACATAGCAAGATCTCATCTCTACCAAAATAAATAAAATTATTAAATAAATGTTTGTAGGTTGAATGAATGTACCTAGGAAAATTTCATCTATAACAAAGGCAGCCAGTGAACAAACCTATTGGTCAGTAGTGGCTCTTAGTGGAGAAAAAAATAGTGACAACAAAGGCTTCCCTTGAGAATTGGAAACCATAGGCCTGCCCTCTTGTGGTTTTGGTTTTGATTCCTATTAAATATGCAATATGAATAACTCTAAGATGCCATGTAAATAAAAATAGTTCCAGTTGGTAACACCTTCTGGGACCCAGCTAAAACAAATGGAAATTCTCTTGGTAGGAAAATGTTCTCAACCAAGGTGCCTCAAGATACTTGCATATTAACGTCAGTCGAATATGTGATCTCAGTAAAAAGTTACCAAATACATAAGAAAGCAAGCTATGATAAGCAAGACTCAGCAAAAGGGAGAGGAGAAAAAAAAGAGATTGATGATTGATTGATTAAGACTGCCAAAAACTTAGAATTATCAGATACTGAATATGAACTACTTGATATTCTCATAATCTATTAATGTTTAACAATTACCCCAGACCTTCGTGGCATAAAACAACCATGTATTATGCTCATGGAGTCTGTGGGTCAGTGACTTAGGATATAGGAAGAATGATTTGTCTCTGTTCCATGTTGTCTGGGTCCTCAGCTAGATGGCCTGAAGGCTGAAGTGACTTGACAGCTGACTGCTGCAATACTCTGAAGTCTCATTCATTCATATTTCTGGTGGTTCATGCTGGCTGTGAATGGGACCTTAGTTGGAGTTATCAACCACACACCCAAATGTGGCCTCTCCATGTGGCCTTGACTTCTTCACAGTATGTTAATTGGTTCCCAGGGTGTGTGCAGAGAGAACCAGATAGAAGTCATATAATCCTTTCTAACCTACCTTCAGAGTCATGCAGCATCACTTCCACAATATTTTACTCATTAAGGAGATTACATGGCCTAGCCAGGCTTGAGGGAAGGGAAAATGTATTTCATTTCTTGATGAGGATTGGCAAGGTTCTGAGAAGGCATTTGGAGCCAGAGTATTGTTGCATCCATTTTAGAGACAGTCTGTTACACTATATAAAAATACTGAAACAAAAGATGGAAATAGGGGAGGAAGATTATGAGACGATAGACTACTCAACTTGAAAAAAGACCCAGCTACAACTTACAAAATTAAAAACATGTAATTATTGGAATTTAAAATTCAGTGGATGGCTTAACTAGCAGATTAAACATCTTCTTTAAAAATATCAATGTACTAAAACAGAGCTTAAGAAATTACTTGGAATATACTATGGAGAAATAAGAAAGTAAAAAAATGAGAAAGGGTAATTGAGACACAGAAGCTAGTATGAGAAGGCCTAACATAAGTACAGGTGGGGGTTCAAGAACGAGAGAATAGAGACAATGGGGGAGACGTATTTGAAAACATAATGGCTTAGAATATTTTCTAGAATGTATGAAAGATATGCATACTCAGATTCTGGGAATACTGTGAGTCTCAAAAATAATAAGGGCTGGGCGTGGTGGCTCACGCCTGTAATCCAAGCTCTTTGGGTGGCCGAGGTGGATAGATCACCTGAGGTCAGCAGTTCAAGACCAACCTGGCCAACATGGTAAAACCCCATCTCTACTAAAAATATAAAAATTAGACAGGCATGGTGGTGCACGCCTGTCATCCCAGCTACTCAAGAGGCTGAGGCAGGAGAATTGCTTGAACCTAGAAGGCGGAGCTTGCAGTGAGCCGAGATCATGCCACTGCACTCCAGCCTCTGCACTGGCTGACAGAGTGAGTCTCCTTCTCAAAAATAAATAAATAAATAAACAACAAGAACTGCATGCATGCCTGGTTATAAAAACAGCAAATAAAGAGATAATCCTAAAAGCAGCCAGAGGAAAATGTTCCTTATAAAGGAATAATATTTAAACTGATGGTTGACTTCTCAACAGCCACCACAGAATCAAGGAGACAGTGAAATAATATCTTTAAAATGCTGATAGAAAACAACCAGCAACTTGGAATTAAAGATCTGATCAAATAATCATTAAAGCACGAGGGTAAAATAAAGACATTTTCAGATATTTTTTAAAGTAGAACATTTTCACAGATGGACATTCATTTACAGAACTTCTAAAAGATATGCCTCAGGAAAAAGAACATTTCTTCTGAGAAACAAGGTCTTAAATATAAGAAGGAATAGCCAGCAAAGAAATTGGCAAACATAGTAGTCAACCCAAGCAAACATTTTCTGTATGAAACATATAATAATGTCTAATATGTGGGGTTAATGAAAAACAACACAGAATAAATATACTAGACAATAATAGCAGTTAAGTTGGGAGGGGATGAAGAGAATCAAAGTCTTATAAATTCCTTGTATTGTTAGGATGGAAAATATATCAATTAACTTAGGCATAGTCAAGTTTTAGTAGGCATGGCAAAATTTCAAGGAAACTACTAAAAGACATAGAATTCATAACTTCCAAACCAGTAAAACAGAACTATTAGAATAAGAAAGAAAAAACTCAGTCCAAAGGAAGGCAATCAAGAAGGGGAAAATAGATATAGAGAAATCTGGATAAGTAGGACAAGGCAGAAATAAATCCAAATGTCAGTAAGCACAGTAAATGTAAATGGACCAAACTAGCCAGTTAAGTGCTCCACAATTCACTTCATGAAATTACTATAACCTTAATGCAAAAGCCAGAAAATGATAGTATGAGAAAGTAAAATTACTGAGTCAGTCTTACCCGTGAACATAGTTCTAAAGTCATGGCTTGGTGAGAGGGATGACAATCATGAAACTGAAAGGGAAACAGTGCCTGTACTTACCATCCCTGATGTCAAAATGCCTGCAAGGACACTGCCTTCCTTTAGTTTATTTCTTGGGTAGAGACGACAGGAGGTCTTTATTGATATTATCTCATTTGAGATTGTCTCTTAATATTCATAACCTAAGGCTGCTATACAGTGCCTGTGTTATATAACAGCACCTCTTTTACAACTCAGGATGTCACAGTATTATGAGTAATGAGGTGCTTGTGGGAGTTATTGAAGGATTAACTATAGACTTGTAACCAATCCAAGAATTGCAGGAGATGAGGCACCCTCGTAAAGAATTTATCAAAGTAATTTGTCTATGTTGCTGTGGACAGATTACATTCTTATTCACTCTCTGAAAGTTTATTGCCAGTCTCTGAGTAGTTACAAATGCATTATTAATAATCCTTAGAAAAGCAATACATTGTTGCATGGCTTAAGCTTTGCTCGTGTCTAGAAATTTGGAACAGTTGAACCTGACTTCATTTCACTGCCTCTTAAAACTTGATCCCCCTGAAACAAAACCTAAAGAAGTATTGTGTTTCTCCCTCTAAATTCAGTGAATCTACTTGTCATTTATTCAGTGGTATTTGAAAGCTTAAGTTGGCAAATTAGACTAATATTAAAAACTTAGATATGCCTCTCTTCCTTCCCCATCTTTGAGAGCTGTTACTGAGTAAAGGAGCAAATGAAAAGGGATGAAACTCTCTGGTAGTTAAGTAGTGTATCTAAACTAAGTGGAGTAGATACTGCCTAGTTGTAAACTTCAGCCAGTTGTCTGTTGAGAAAGACAGGTGCAGGGGCTTTTCTTTTTTATTTTTCATGCAACAACTTACTTAGTGTATAACACTGAGCTATCCCTGTTTGGAAGAAGCCAGAGGCCCAGAAAATTTTTGCTAAAGGAGGGGTTGCTTTATGTATCTCCTTTAAAGGGAGATGGGTAGGACAGGATTCAGATGCTCCTGAGTCCCATAGTGAAAATACCATTTATAACCTGCTGTAGACTGTATGTTTATGATCCCCCCAAATTCATATGTTGAAACCTGAAGCCCAATGTGATGGTATTTGGAGGTGGGGCCTTTGGGAGGTGATTAGGTCATGAGGGTGGATCCCTCGTGAATGGGATTAATGCCCTTATAAAAGAGACCTTAAGGAGCTTTCTCACCCCTTCCTCCGTTTGAAGACATGGTGAGAAGGTATGGTCTATGAACCAGCCAGCGGGCCCTCACCAGAAACTGAGTCTGCTGGCACCTTGATCTTGGGCTTCTCAGCTTCCAAAACTATGAGAAGTAAATTGCTGTTGTTTGGTATTTTATTATAGCAGCCCTAACAGACTAAGATCCTCACCATAGTTTCCATCAAGCTACAAGAAGGGCATGTTGTGAAGGCAGGAAAGCATACCATGTGGTGGGCCCAGGCTGAAAGGAGCCAGCTGCCCACACCACCTCGCTTTTGATAAAGTTGGATGGAGGGGGGTGATGGAAGTCCAAAGGAATTCCTTAGGTGTTTGTGTCTCACATCCTTATCTCTGAGGCAGCTGCTGCCAGCTCATCTCCCTGTCCCTGCAGCTCAGAGGGCAGAGAGGTGCATTCCCTAGAACCAGTCAGCATTCAGAGCTGTTTGGCATCACCACTGCCTCATACTGCTATTCTTCATCCTCTTCAGACTGTATCCACTCTGACTCAGTGGTCATCCCCAAAACTTTGCATGAAGCAAAAGGAACTCTTCATTCAGACAGAGAGAGAGTTGGAGAGGGAACCAGGTGAGCATACCTCATGGCCTGAAGAACGTTATCCAAGAGAAAAAGTTTATTCTTAGAATTGTTATGTAGGCAACAATTCACTGATCTCTGCCTCCAAGTGGCTTAAAATTCACTGACAAGATATAGAAAAGTGAAATGTAAGATTGAGAGAATGATTTGAAAATAATTGCTTTTGTTTTAGTATTTGCAGGCCCATATGCAATAATCCTTTCATTTTTCCCTTGGTTTATCCTTCAGTCTCAGACTGTCCTGATGGGTAGCTTTTTAAATATAGGGTAGCAAGTCCACTAACATTTCTCCCAGTTACCAAGGAGACCTTATTGGCCTTAATACATTACCACCACTAAGTCAGAAGTCTTACATAATTAAGTGTTGTCATCTGTTTCACTTCGTACTTTAATAAACCTGGACTGATTCTTTCATTTTGCTTCTAATGCTTGCTTCTCTAGCCTGTGGTGAGATGTCATTCTTTCCTTTATAAGAATTGTGTTTTGATGACCGAAGAAGGGTTTTTGGTGTTGTGAAATTCTTCTGGAGTTCTGGAATTATCTCTTTCCTATGAATGCTTGAGGAACCACTAGAGGAAGCCATTGAGAAGTGGGCAAGACCACAGGTTCTGGACTAGCCTCCCTCCTTGGCTCAGATGTGGAGTACCTACAAAGTGCATGCCCCACTGCTTTCGCATATTTACGTAAGAGGTAGGTGGTGTTATCCCCATTATACAGTTGAGGAAACTGAGACTCAATAAGGTTAAATAATACTCAGGGTTAAATTGGCTGCAAATAAATAATTGAATTAAGATTTTAATTCCTGGCCTCTGACTGCAAGCCCGGTGTTCTTTCAGCTATTTGATATTGGCAGTTAGGAGAAATAATGGGTTCAAGGAAATAGAATTTTTCAATAGGAGGACAAGAGTACCTTTGGGTCCCGATACAGGGCCCAGTGGCCACTAGTGATGATATCTTACCACAGAGGCAAGGAAAGTTTACTAATACCTGGAGTATGGGTGTGATTCTTAAAAACAGGACAAACCTTGGAGGAATGGGTCTCTCAGGAGATCAGTTCTTTATTTGGCCCAAAGAGCCAAGGAGGCAGTTCCTGTGTCAGTGCAGAATAGGCGGATGCCCACAGAAGGCTCTTCAGAGTCCAGATAGGTGAAGGCGTGTGGTAACAGAGCCCAGGAAAGGATCTGCAGGGCCCAGAGCCAAGAAGAGTAAGAACTGGTTTTATAGGCACAAAGAGATTAGTGAGGCTCCTGCCAGATGTGGAAACAACCGTACCAGTTCATCTGCACCTTGAGCCAGGTGTTAAGCGTCTTTGCTTCAGTAAAGCATTAATATTTTCTTGCTTGTAAAGCTGCTCACCTGTGACTGTTTGGGTCTTCTTTTCATTTTTTCACTAAGAATATTGGATACCTACTGTGTGCCAGTCATCATTCTAGGTAGCTAATAAGACAAATAAGATATCTTCCCTCCTGGAGCATATAGACTAGTTAGGGAATCTAGACAATAGTAAAAAAAAAAAAAAAAATTTATTATCAGCATGAGATCCCTACTAAGCAGAGAATTAATGGGGTTACTATGATGGCATGTGATTAGTAGCTAGTTTGGGTGGTCAAGAAAGCATCTCAGAATCGATGACATTAGGTTGCTTTGTGAATGACACCTGCCAAGGTGAATAGAAAAGAATTTGCAGATAGAAGAACAGCAGAGGTAAAGGCCCTGAAGTAGGGACCTGCCTGAGATTGTTGAGGAATAGAAAGAGGGCCAATTGTGGTCAGAGCATAGTGGTGAGAGAGAACCAGTGGAATGAGATGAGGTATGCATGCAGTTGGGCAGCAAAAGTAAGAAGTTTGGGTTTTATCTTAAGTGTAATGAGGAGCCCATTGGAAAATTCTAAACAGATAAATAACATGATATTCTTTATGTCTTGAAAAGATACCTGACTGCTTTGTGGAGAATTGATTGTAGGAGTTTAGGAGTGGAAGCAGTGTTTCCAGTTAGGAGTTGATTACATAGTCAGGCAAGAAGAGATGGTGACAAATTGGACTAAGGTGGTAGTCATGGATATGGGGCAATATGAGAATCAGGAAACATCTTGGAAGTAAAGTCAAAAGGATTCGTTCATGAATTGGATGATATAGAGTGAGAGAGGCAAGTTCAGTCAACCCAGAGAGTCAACAGAGTAAAAGATGTCCTAACCAGATAGGTTTTAGGTCCAAAATTGCTCATTATAAAGAAAGAGATAATGAGCTTTTTGTGACCTCAGTGCTGATGGCAACAACAGCATCATATGTAGATCCTGTTGTGGTTAGAACACACGGACAGTGAGAAATCACAAGGACAAAAAACTAGGGCCATCTCTGGAAGTGGTACCTGTTTCATTCATTTATTCATTCATCAAATATGTAATATCTGCTAGGCATAGATAAGTGTTCTGAATATAAAAAGATAAATTTCTACCTCAGATGCTCACACTCTTATTCCTTATGGGAATTTTCACAAACAGTCCACCATGAAGTCACACCTTTGGATTGAGACCTCTGTGGACATCAAGTTAGTTGATGTCTGCAATCAACAAAGCAGCCCTTTAATTTCTGGATTGGTTTTGGTTTTTCTACAGCAGTAATAACTTAGACCCTTTTAAAAATGCATTTCTGAAAAGAAAGCAGACATCGTCACTCTTCCTGGCTGTGCATCAGTGATTGTGCTCCTCATACTCTTACTTACCTCTTCTCACCTGCCCACTCCTGAGACTTACTGGCATATAGTAGCTGAAAGTATTACTGTTTTCCTGGAGGATTGTAAAGGGTGTCTGAAAGCACTCTATTTTTCCCTCTCACAAGATCCAAACTGCATTAATTTATCATTGAATATTTCCATTTTAAGAAGCTGTTAATTCCAATAAACGTTGATGGAGGTTTGAAGCCCAAACATTTTAATGAAGCCATAAATCAAGAAGCCATGGTGGCTTTCTTCAAATGTCCTCACACAAAATGATCTGCAGGAGGGAAGGTTTTCTATGGTATTTTAGCGGCTGCTTCAGGCAGACAGATGCATTCCCAGCTTGGATGTTAATATGTTATAGTTAGCTCAGTGTAAAGCTGGTGTGGAAAACCATGAGTTTGTGGTTCAGTTGTCAGCTACTTCATGTCCTTTCTCCCTCACCTGTCTCAAATTCTGGCATTGGTCATAAAGAGCCTTGAAGTTGCACATATCAGAGGGCAAGTATCATTAACATATGTATTTGTTTCCTTAGGTTATCCCTGCCCTTCATAACTACATTTGCCAATGTACTTTACCATTCAGGTTATAGCTCAGTTTAATATTCTGCCTCCACTCAGCATAGTCTCATACACTCATTTTTGGAATTCTGCAGCTATTACCTTTATGTGTTGAAATGAGTGAGTGTCTTATCTGCCTGTGGACTAAATTCTCACTGGTATTTTTTCAAATGTCTTAAAATATTCACTTGCTTATAATTTCATACTGAATGCAGTTTTCCTGGGCTCAGTGGATCTGTTTCAACATATTGTATCTATTCTGTATAGTGTCATATATTATTTAAATGTATTTATTATAAAATAGGACATGCACAAGTTTTGCAGATTGCCAAGGAAGTTGCCCTCTGGGCAGATTTTCTATGAACTACATCAATCTCATGATCTCCTCCTCCTCCCTACTTTCATTTATAGAGCATCCTGGTACCAGACGTTACCATAGTGATGTAGAAAGATTGCTCAAACAAAAATGGGAGAGACATAGCAGTGAGCTTTTATCTTCACTGCTTTGGGTTGCTGTGCACCCACCAACTAAGATACAGCATGTGGAAAAGCAGGGAGACATATCCTAGAGGCTACTAACTGTCATTAGAGATGAGGGTGTTGTAATACTTGTGAATTCCTGAGAAGTCAGTTCATTAGCTAGTTATTAAGTCCCCGCTGTGTGCCAAGCCCCACTAGGCGGGGGATGCACACAAGAGAAGATATGGTTGCTCCCTTCAAAGAACTTACAGTCTAGTAATTGCACCCCTTTCACTCAAAAGAGTTGCTTTGCAGAAATCTTGACAATTCCAAATATGTTCCCTTTTCTGACAGGCGTCTTTTCCAAATCTCTTGAGAATAGATTCCTGAAGTATATGATTATAAATCAAATTTTTGTCCTGAATACCTTGCTAATGGAGTGAAAATGGGAACCTGTATTGAAATACTTAAAACTTGTGTATTTTTGGAAGCTCTCTGTTGCTGTAGATCATAGGCAAGGGTTTGTAACACTTTGTAAACCAATTGCTATGTTCCCTTGCAAAAATCCTGACCTATTGAGAATGCCCCAGGTGAGGTAGAGACCATATGTGTTGTAAGACTCCAGACAACCTTGTGTGGTGAACTGGAAAGCTTTTACTTTCTTAGAGAAAAATAATTGAAATACTGTAGTGGTAAATTAAAGGGAAGGAACTGGAGTGGCAAGTGAGAAATTAGGTGAATTCCATTTTCTGCATAAGCAAGTAGGTAGCAAAGAACATGCCATCTGAAGCTAAGTTATTACCTGAGTGTTTGCTGCCTTTAAAAGCTCCATCAATTCTTCTAGTATACTTTGTTTGGGACTGTTTGCTACGTTTCTATTCTATCCTGATCACAATTAAAGTAAAATAAACCATTTCAGTGCTTGGAGAATCCCATAAATATAACAATGAAATTTTTCCCCAAATCTGTGAACACTGTAGCCTTGTTCCCTGACCTGTTGGAAAGGTGAAAAGAAGCTCTTGAGTGATAATACTTAGAGATTCTAATAACACTAAAAAGTCAAATTTGTTGCTTAAGTTTGAATTTTACCATTCATGTCAACCCCAGGAAGGACAGACTTCTAAACAGTGAAGTAGCCCAAAATTAGCAATGGAAGAGAGAGAAGGACACAGATAATCCCAAAACTATGTAATCAAAACTTGCAGGCAGCATTTGGGCAGGGTGGAGAAGTCAGTCTGCCATGCTGTCTTTTTCCAGACCACACAGCTGCGGTGAGAGGACAAGGGATAGGAGAGCTACTGCAAAAGGCACATCCAGTTCAGAAATAATTGTTTTTTTCCTTTAACTTGAGCCTTTTTCAGAGCAGTTATTTTGTCTGTTTATGGAATAGACATTCTTTCATCCTGCAAAGGAAATAATCATTTTCCAGCTCAGAGGTGAATTATGGAGTATCAGGGAAGTAGAAGTGAAAATTTTTAGATATTCTACTTTCAAGAAGTAAATAACAGACCAAGTGTGATGATGCATACCTGTAATACCAGCCCTTTGGGAGATCAAGGCAGGAGGATCGCTTGAGGCTAAGAGTTCAAGACCAGTCTGAGAAACGTAGTAAGAACCCATCTCTTAAAAAAACAACAACAAAAATAGAAAACTTTTTTTTAAAAAATTAGCTGAGTGTGGTGGCACATACCTAGTCCCAACTGCTCAAACTCCATGAGTTTGAGGCTGCAGTGAACTATAATTGTGCCACTGTATTTCGGCCTAGGCAATAGAGCAAGACTGAGTCTCAAAAAAAAAAATTCACCCGAAGAAAGCTATCTATCATGCTATTTTCCCAGTTAATAATAGATTACTTCAGCCATCTATGTTCTCTTGTCCAGATTGCTCATGAGCAGGAGCCACATTTGCAGCTGCACGTCTGTGGTTAGAAGTTTATTCTATTAACTTGAAACTGTGATATTCTCAGCAAGAAGCCAACTAACTTGGGATTGAACTAATGTCCACAGATGTAACACCGTTTTGTAGCAAAGATAGCATCATTCCTCTGCAAGTTGTCATTATATTGTTTCTGTCTGATTTGGTCACAAATTCATCACACACAAAAAAAAGTAGTGATAGTCTAAGTGCATGCACTGGCTTTTGGAACAGTCCATGAAGCAAGTATAAATTTGTGGAGAAAACATGAGTTCATGAATATGCAAAGCACTTACCATAAAAAGAACAGGGTTTGAAGGTCATTCGTAAAACAAGCAGTGATGAAGTTACCTACCCTATAGGCTTACTGAAGGGACCAAATGAAATAATGCAGGCATGTCAGTCAGGAAAACAGTGCAGGAAACAGAAATCACTCTAGGTATTTCAAGCAGAAAGGGATTGCATATAAGGAATTATATGCTTCCAAAATTACTGGGAAGGCTAAGGCAGTAGATGGTGGGAACTGTGGTGTCCAAGGACACACTCCACTGTAGCAGCAGTCCGGAGGTCAGGAATGACTCTTGCTGGGCACCAGCACTCACCACAGTCATCTCTAAACACCAACAAGATGGTGACCAAGATACTGAAATGCTGAATACAGCTGCCTCACTGCTGGTCATTCTGAACACTCACATTAATCAAAGATTACATATACCCAGATGGATCCGATTAGCATAGATCTGCTAGGAATCATCATAGCCAGACGTAGGCAAGACAGGATCCTTTGGTTATGTGTTCTATTAACTTACTTCCTCCAGACAGCTTTTGTTCCTGTCTCTAACATTTTGTATGTCTTTGAGGTTTGATGTTCTACCTTGAAGCTTTGAAATAGTTCATTTTAAAATGGGTCCTTGAGCTCCCAACCTGTTGGTAGGCAGAACACATACTTTGGGTTGAATGTGATCACTGTAGCCTGCAGTACAGTGCAGCACTTTCGGCACTAGCACTTGCAGATAAAATATAACTATCCTCCTATCATTTGCTGAGGCTGCAGTGCAGTGATTCTGAACCCAATGTGTGGGAGCCTTTGCGAACCAATGTGCTCACATTTAATCCACACCTCTAACCTTTCCATCTCAACCTGCCATCCTTGACAAGCAGAGCTGCAGTGAGAGAAAATCCCAAGTTTGGACTTCCAAGTAAGGAGATGGAATGAAGAGGTGTCTGCTGTTGGGCTTTTGCGGAAAGCCTGAATGAGATCATTGAAAATAAATGGAATATGCATGCTTTTTCCCCTCCAGATTCCATAGTTCTCCTATATCAAGGCAGATAACAGGGAAGCTATATACTTTATTATTTGGCTCTTTGTAGAAATACCTTCACCAACCTAAAATTTAACATTATGCTTTTGACTTTTTCTTGAAAATGGCTGTATGTGAAACATTCCTATACTTTTTTGTTTTTAAAAAGTTTACCAAAGATACCATTCATTGTGTTGTCCGGTGCCTCTTATATCAAGACCTGTAAGATAAATTCCTCTTATAATTCAATACTAGGACAAAGGTTGTCTTTACTGACAAACTTATATGCTACTCCTTGCAAATATTGATAATAGTGTAATATATTCAGATCTCTTTTTGCCTTGACTCCAAGAAAGCTCTTAAAAAATTAGTTCACTTGCAGTAGTTTCCTTAGCCTAGATTTTCTGGATAATATTCTTCCTCCACCCAGCCTTATCATCACTTGTGGGGGTTGCTGTTAGGTTTTTTTTGTTGCTGTTGTTTGTTTGTTTTACTAATTGTATTCTTATAAACCACCTATCTCCCTTGGGGCATAGATTAGATATCAAATTCATGAATATCAATATTGGTATGAAAAGTCACCTATAGAATTCAAATATGCATGTCTGGAGCTTACCACAGGACTAGTGACTTAGAATCTTTGGGATCAGGACTGAGATAAGAATATAGGAAGTACTCACATAACATTGTCCATAGGTTTTTGGCAACTGTGACTTTAAGCAAAACCACATACAGTAGGTCCTCACATGACACATTCAGTGTTGTTTCGTCATAGTGTAGAAGAGAAAATAAAATTGGTTTTGTTGTAAGTTGTTTTGCTTGAAGTCTCAGCTTCGAAGAACCTGTGGATGACATTAAATGAAGGTTTACTGTATAGTTTTTAAATCTCCACAGGTAATTCTGATATGTTCTCCTGATTAAGTGCACTAAAGTCAGTCAGTCAGTGAGTGGTGTGAGCAAGAACCGGAAATTAAACAGTCAATGGATTGCATATTGGCTGACCCATGTGACATGGCTGGTCAGGCGAGTAGTGACAGTTGTTTAAAGAATGCCCAAGGTGGCCGGGCGTGGTGGCTCATGCCTGTAATCCCAGCACTTTGGGAGGCTGAGGCGGGTGGATCACAAGGTCAGGAGATCGAGACCATCCTGGCTAACACAGTGAAACCCTGTCTCTACTAAAAATCCAAAAAAAAAAAAAAAAAGCCGGGCGTGGTGGCAGGTGCCTGTAGACCCAGCTACTCGGGAGGCTGAGGCAGGAGAATGGCGTGAACCCAGGAGGCGGAGTTTGCAGTGAAGTCGAGATCGCGCCACTGCACTCCAGCCTGGGCAACAGAGCAAGACTCCACCTCAAAAAAAAAAAAAAAAGAACTCCCAAGGTAAAGGGATATAGTTGCTGTAGAGCCACCATTCTAGTGCAATTGACTCGTTCATTTATTTATTCCAACATGTAGTGAGTGCCTACTATGTACCAGGTACTCTGGCACTGAGGATACCAAAATGATATAGTCCTCTGCCTCTAAGGAGCTCACAGAGTCTAGTAGGACTGTCAGACATATAGATAATAACTACACATTATAGCAAATACAAGAATGGAGACATGCCCAGGGCATCATGGCAG
Organism: Homo sapiens; assembly: GCF_000001405.40. Taxonomy (NCBI): domain Eukaryota; kingdom Metazoa; phylum Chordata; class Mammalia; order Primates; family Hominidae; genus Homo; species Homo sapiens. The sequence continues at coordinate 133,267,350 of NC_000003.12, forward strand.
CCCAGCGGAGAGGCGTCTGCTCAAATCTTGCAAGAAAACGTCAATTAAGGCTTCCTGGAGAAAGCAGCTAGAGAGTGGATCTCAAAGGATGAACAGGAGTTATCCTAGATGAAAGATATCCCAAGAAGAAGGGCCAGCACTATGTGGGAAACTATATACTGTGAATAGGAGAAGTCAACTATTGCTGCATAACAAATTACCCCAAAACTTAGTGGTTTAAAACAATAAAAAATTATTACCTCACAATTTCCATAGATCAGAAATTCAGGAGTGGCTTAACTGGAGATTCTAATGAAATGTCTCTCATATGATTATGGTTGTGGTCAAGGGGTCAGCAGGAGCTACAGTTATCTGAAGGCTTGACTGGGGCTAGAGGATCTGCTTCTAAAATCTTTTACTCATGTTGCAATGGACAGGAGCCCTCCTCAGTTCTTTACCATGTGTGTCTCTTGATAGACCTACTCACATGTCCTTGTGACATGACAGCTGTCTTCTCCCAGAGTGAATGATTGAAGAGAGGGCAAGGTGAACACCAAAATATCTTTTATGTAATAACCTTGGAAGTCACACAGAATCCTAGAGGTTACACAGATCAGCCCTATTCAGCATGGGAGGGGACTACACAAAGGCACGAAACAGGGATCATTGAGTAGATCTTGAAGCTGGCTACCACACAAGGCCATCAAGCTTATGATCTGGAATGGCAGAAGCTGGCTAGGTACAGAGCCCCATCCTGAAGGAGCCCAAAGACCATCAATAAGGAGCTGAGACTTCATGTGTGGGCATCACGAAGCCATTGCAGAGGCAGTAAGAAGAGAATTGATGATGTCAGATTTACATTTTAGAAAGGCTTCTTGGACAGTATGGAGAAAGGTCCTTGGAACAGAAGGGCCAGTTAGTTGTCACAGAAATCCAGCAAGATCATGTGGGCCCATATCAGGGCAGTTGTGGCATAGAAATATAGTCCTTTATTGTTCAAAATGTGGTACATGGACAAGCAGCTTTGACATTACCTGGGAGATTGTAGAAATGCAGACTCCCAGGCATCAGGTTAGACATAATAGAATCTGATTCATGTGGACCTAAAAGTTTGAGAAGTGCTATTATAGAGGATGTTGTAGAAATAATTAGGAACACAGAGGAGAGGAGACCGACTCTGAAGTCATGTTTATTCTACTTCAAAACTAGAATGCATATTGTAAATTTTTACTGAAATCTACAGAATAGATCCAGAGAGCTTTGGGCATTCACAGCATCAGTAATGATATGGTATGATCTAATAACAGAAGGGCTTTCTCTGTTATTATAAATGGTAACCATGTAAATAAATGTTGCCAGCAGAGGAAACCTACTGAATACTTCTCTGCTCTAAACTTTACATCATTTTCCAACCAGCTTATTTCTTTTGTCTCAGAGTCTGAAGAACAAGATAGCTAAATTTTCAGAAAAGGGGCCATGGGGAATGGAATAATGTGATAAACAGAGATTTGGAAAGCTACAAGATAATGCACATTCTGGAAAATATCCTGATTTCCAGATGACCTTTCCAAGCATTGTCTTTTCTGGGATTAGATGTGGGAGCCAATTAACTACTGGGCTTCACACAGTAAATGTCTGCCAGGAAATTCATTACTTGCATATGGTCAACAGGAACCACCATCCAGTAGTTTTTTTTTAACTTGTTAAGCACAAGTGCATCTTGTGATGTTCTCCTGGTCTGCCGGCTGGCAAGTGCCATCTGCCAACATTGGCCATGTGTCAATCTTTGTTTTTCCCCCTCCATTCTTCCACCTACCTCTTTACAGTTAAGAAAATTATATAAATCAATTAATGCTGGATCTCAGAACTCAGATGAATATGCTGCTAGTTCTGCAAAGAGAAATAGAGAAAGAGGGGGAGGGAGGGAGGCAGCAAGAAACAGATCTACCTTTTAAAAACTGATAAATGAGCATTGAAACAATGAGAATACTCCATCAATACAATTGATGGAGGAGGGAGAGTTTCCTCTTGCAGCATGTTCAAATGCTTTGGTGGCTAATGATTTCAGACCTCCCAGAGCCTTAGTCCCATTCTTCTCCAGGCATGAACCGTTGTCCCTACTACTAATCAGGAGGTACTTTATGTAAACTCATCAAGGAGCACTGGGGTCACTGGCTCCAGGAGCTGCTAGAGATTAAATGGCTTCATTGGCATATGTCCAGATAGAGGAAAAGTGAAAGGGAAACTGGTACCTTTTCCTTGGCCCTTCTGTCTGACTCCCTCCTGTGTTCCAACCCCTGATAGTTTGGTTTCCAATGAGTTATTGCTCATTTATTGAGTCAGTTTTTAATTGGACTCTCACATGATATGAAGTTTTCATTGCTATTTAGAGTGGTTAGACATGTTTCTGACTAGTAAATCTGAGACTGCCAGTAATTACAGAGCCTTAGGGAGAAGAGCTCAAAGCTGCTTGTCACCTATAAACACCTCCTCCTCTGGGGTTCCCAAGGAATATGTAGGGAAGTTTGCAATTGTACCACCCCATCCTGAACTTCAAGGACTTTCATGTCAATACTCCCACACCAAACCTTGAGTGAGTATTAAAAATAAGATCTACTTCCTCCTCCTGGAGTGAGCTAGTGTTGGGGGAAGGGATGCTAATTAAGAATATTCCCAAATCTTGTGAAAGATAAACCTCTTTTTCCTATTTTTGATTATCTCAGCTTAATAGGCATCATATCCCCATTTCTCAGAGGTTTGCCTTAGAAAACATTCTCTGAGATTCCAGAAAATAAGATATTAGAGATTTTGCAGTTCTCCCCTCCCCCAATCAAAGTCCTCCTTTCCTTACTCGGCTCTATTTCATCCCACAATACTGGTCACCTTCTAAACTACAGTATAGGTTATTATTATCTTTACCCTCTGCCTCCCACCACTAGAATGCAAGCTGAGGACAAGTATTTTAGTCTTTTGTGTTTGCTGCTGTATTTCCAGCACCTAGAAAGTACCTGGCACATAGTAGGCACTCGATAAATGTTATTTGAATAAATTTAAGATTCTAAAGGACCTTGAAACCTGTTTAGTATCTTTATTTGGAGATAAACCAATTAAAACCCTGAGAGTTTGTGACGTTCCCTAGGTTGCATAGCTGATCTGCAGAGGCAAGTCTAAAAGGTGAATCCAGATCTTTCTCCTAACCCTGTGTCCTTCCTACCACCTGCTGCTGCTTTTGGCTGCTGGATGGAGCTGGGAAGAAGACTGGAGGCTACTGGTCCTAATCCATAGAAGGGATTTTCTGAGTCCTGCCCAGAAGTAGGCAGGTATCATGAGCATCTTCTGCCCTCAAGAGGATCTTGGCAGTCAAATATGGCTGCAGCCTGGCTCCATTCCTTGGTCATAATCTCCAACTTCTGCTGCCAGGATTTTCTCCCTGTTTTTTTTATAAGACTGCCTGTTCGAAGAATGTACACACACACACACACACACACACACTCACACACTCACACACACACACACCCCTACCCCTCCAGGCTCACTAAAGCAACATACAGCTCTGTCAGGAAAAGGATCATAATCTCAGCCCTCACTCACTCTGGTGCAGCTTGGGCAGAGGGATTGCTAATGAAATTATTGAAGTTCCAAAGCCCCCAAGCCATCCTCTTGACACAACCACTGTTTTGGCACTACCTTCTGTTATTCTTTGGTTTTTGCTACTCCTAGTTACCTCAAATGAACACGCTACCCTGCTTTCAATCCACAAACTCTACCCCAACATCTGGCCAATCTTGCCATGCCCTTCCCCCAACACCATGCCCTCCTCACCATCCCCAAGGGGCCAAAATGGACAATTGTAGAGACCAGGCAAGACTCAGCTCACTGGTTGAGAGAGGAGGTCAAGAGTTCTGCTGTAGAACGGAAAGAGTTGGGAAACAGGAGGAGGACCAGAGAATAGGCAGTGCTTGAAAACCCTGTGGAGGCAAATTGTCTGCGGAGTTGGAAACAACCACAACACATTTGTCCTTAGAAAAATATTAATTTTTTAACCTTTTCAATACTATGTTCAAAACCTCTCTCACAAGGTCCACAAACTTTCCTACTACAAGGCTGTCATTTTTGACTAGGAAAATTTGAATTCAGTATTTCAAAAGTGATTTCTTGGAAATAATTTCTTATGTGGTGTCAAGTCTCTGGAGAAAAATGCAGAAGGTCTTTCTGCCCATTAGATGCTGTTCACGAGAGAGAAATAGCAGGAATTAACAGTATGGTGGCTTCACACGATTGCCCAGATAGTGTGTGAGTTCAGGAAGTGTCTTGTTTGCAGGGAGAGAGTGATTAACACAACAGACGCTGCTCTGACTCTCCTATAGGAGTCAGAGGAGACAAAGCTTGGAGCCTACATTTACAAACTGTCATGAGCCAGCCCCACCTAGAAGCACGCTAAGCTTGTTTTAGTCATCTCATTTCTCTCTAGCCCATGGGCCAACCTTATTCCTGCTTTTTTGCATTTATCTGGGTCTCTACTATGTTTCAGCCTCTGTGCTGGGCTTGTATCAACAAGGCAAAGAGAAATTTTACATGATCTCTGTGTTCAAAGACCTCATGTACTTGATACAGAGGTAAATAGATTAGCAAATAACAGCTATTGACAAAATTAATGAATCAATAAAAATGCATTTAAATTATGTTTTGAGCGCTTAACTCTGCTGTAGGAGCTAAAGGAGGCCTCTTAGAGGAGTTAACAGCTGAGCTTTGTGCCTCACAGTTTCCTTAAGGCTGTGCAGATTCTTGGATTCTCGTCAATAAGGCCAAATAGGATATTCCCTCCCATAAGACTTTTTCTCTTAGGCATCTCATTTGTGTCATCTAACACTTAGGGTAATGGGGCGGAGGGGTATGTGGAGTATCTTGCTCTGACTCAGCCTTATAAGAACACCATACACGTACGTGTGTGTGTGTGTGTGTGTGTGTGTGTGTGTGTGTGTGTTTCCTAAAGGAGGACTTATTTTAATATCTGAGAATAGACTTCTAGGAACTTCCTTGATGTACAGAAATCTCATAGACCCTATGGTCATTACTGCAAAGAATCATCCCATTTTAGAGCTGGCATTTACCTTCTAAATCAACTCATCCTTTTTACAGTTGATGGAGGTTAAAGCCAGGGATGCTAAAGGACTGCCCAAAGTCACGCAGCTAACCACGGGCAGAGCCAAGTCTAGGACCAAGGCCTCAGTTCTATGCAATTTTTATGGTACCTTGCAGGTCCCCCCAAGGGGCACACATCTGTCAGCATAGTGGGATGACTAGGAGCAAGCATTACACTAGGGGCAGGGGTTAGGAGTGATGTATGAGATACTACTGAATCATAGAGCTGGAAGGGCCACTAGAGGTCATCTCGCTTACCTCCTGCATTTTTCTGATGAAGAAAGAGAAGATGGGGAAAGTGAACCTGATCTTCTCAGCCAGGGGAGGTATTGCCCTCTAAGAGGGATATGGAAATGTATGGGACCATTTTTGGCTGTCACAATGACTGGGAAATGATATTGGCACTTAATGGGCAGATGCCAGGGATGCTTAACATATATTGAGTGGAACAGTTCTACCAATGACAAATCACCCAGCCCCAGATGTCAACAGCGTCCGCATTGATAACCATGAAAAGAGCCCCCATTACAGACAGAGAAGGGACCAGGCTCTGAGGTGGTTTGCCCAGTAGTTTGTCATTGTGTGTACATTTAGGGGTGGGTCACAAACCCCTCTGAGAATCAAATAAAAACTTCCTTTTCATAGAAACCTACACATACACAAGAACTTTGCCCTTAATTTTAGTGGGTTAATGAGCCCCTTTAACCCATCAATGAACCACAGGTAAATAACCCTAGTCTTAAAAGAGACTTAAAGGTGGAGAAAATTAAATATGTATGTGTTTTCTTATGGATAAAAATTGTCTTATGATGTGTCCAATGGAATGAAGAGTAAATGTGGGTTTTTTCCCTACCAAGTGAACACAGTGGTATCCAGACTCTTAGATTCTTTCTTTTGTTCATTCATCAGAAGCCTTGGATTTTTATCCATCACTTAAGAAGTATAGCTATTATTTCCTATTGATAGTCAAACTAAACACCACGTCTACCTCCCACACCTTCCTTCCCTTTCTCTCCCCACAGTAAGTACTCAGCAGGACTGACGTAGGAAGCAGGAGTGGGTGCTGACTTCAAAGGGTCCCTCTCCCTGAACTTTGGAGAGTCCCTTCTTCAGGAGTGTGAGTTCTGGGTGAGTGGTGGAAGAACTGCAGGCTTTAAATGCTAGTCAAGGTGTAAATCAGATACTGTGTTTTAAAATGTGCTGAGTAATTTCTGACTCATTAAATCAGTTAAATTACAAAATGCTCCATTTCAAGATGCTCTATTTCATCCATTTGCAACAAGTCATGGCAAACGGAAGAAATAGATTAGCCAATCATGCCTCCATGGTGTTGTTGAAGAGAATAGAGGAGAGGAGAGATGGACGACTCACTACCACTCTGTGAGAGAAGACTTAGGGTCAGGCGTAACAGTCAGACCAAGCAGTCTTATAGGATAGATATTCTTCAAGGGTTTTACATCTCATTTACTCCTGACAGCAATCCTTCGGGGCTTATTTTCTTGTCTATTTTACTAATGAAGAAACTGTGGCTGAGAGAGGTTAAGTACTTTTTCAGTTGAGTCAAAATTCACACCCAGTCCTATGTGACTCCTAGGCCAAGTTCTTTTCACCCCAATGCTTCCCAGCGAGTTTGTATGAACACAGGTAATGCTGCTCTCAAACAGCTAAAATTATCTGCACAGCGGATGCATGCCCCACTGCCTTCCCATCTACAAGATCCATCTCAGATTGTTCTTGGTTATTCCAGTATGCTGAGGACAAGCCTTCTGACTTTGGTTTCATTTTGTTTTGTTTTTCATAAACTGTGCTTCTGTCGAGGCTGTAGAGAATCCTGTTAGGACAGTATGTCGTGATTTAAACTGTGGCTGATGAGTGACTCCCTTCTTTCCTTCTCTTGCCTCAAACCTTTCCTTTCTCTTATGATGGGAGAGACCAAGTGTACTTCTGCATGCACAGTGCCTGGAGGTCTTCCCAAGCCTGGCTTGGAGGTATCAAAAAGGAATCTGTACCTAACTTTCACAGAATGGTTTCCACTTAGCTGGGGGCTTTGTTTTGTCCCCCAAAGTAGCTGGTGACTTTGTTTTGTCCCCCAAAGTGTTTCATTCTTTTTCCCTTGTAGATTTGTTTCTCTGTGAATTTATCTAAAGACAGTGGTGTGCTGTTGGGCAAGAAGTCCTTTCCTACTGCCTCCTGTAGGAGAGCTGTAGTTACTGCTGAACAAATGACAACCTGCCCACTGCAATAATAACAACCATTTCCCTGGGTGACAAGTATCTAATTAAGTGAATGCCTTGGGTCAAGGGGTCATATTTCTGCAGGCAGTGGACCTTTGTACCATTTGCCAGTCAGGGGGTTAGACACATTCCCTACCCTCCCTGCTGGGTGTGAGTTTCTACACCTGAGCCATTGCCAGCAGAGCTGATGAAGGAACTTACCTCAGAGTCTCTAAATGAAGTCCACTGCTCTTAGATCTGCTAAGAAATATCTCAAAACCATTGGTTCCAAGTTGATTGATTGATTTTCCTATTTCCATCAGCAAAAACCATAAATACTCAATTAAACTCTAAAAGTGGTCTTAGAATTCCAACACCAAGTATAGAGGACTTAATTATTTTAATGGGGGAGGGGAAAGAGCGCTAGATCAGGAGTCAGAAGACTAAAGGTTTAGCTCTGACTCTACAACTAACTGCCCACATGACCCCAGTAACTTTCTTATCTAGTTTCCCCAATTGAAAATGGGAGTTTTTTCCTTAGATACTCTTTAAAAGCAGTACTGTCCACTAGAAATATAATAGGAATCACATATGTAATTCTTAATTTTCTGAATTTTAGCAACATTAAAAATAAAAAGCAAGTAAAATTGATTTTAATAATATATTTTATTTAACCAGTATATGCAAAATATTATTTTAACATGTAATTGGATTTTTCACATACATTTTCCATATTAAGTTTTTGAAATTCAATGTGTATTTTACACTTACATTGCATTTAAGTTCAGACTAGACACATTTCAAAGGTTCAGTTTGGCCACATGTGGCTGATGGCTACTGTATTGGATAATGCAGCCTGGACTCTTTTCTGGCTATTAATTTTTTTGTGTATGTCCCAATCCGTTACTTGCAACTCTTGAGGTTAGATGGATAATTTAGAATTTTTTATGTTTTAAAATGAAATACAGTATTTATTATTTATTAATACCCCAGGGGGATCTGGAGCAGCACTCCATGATCAAACAAATAAATATTTCTGTAGCAAAAAGTATGACAATACACACTGAGATAAAGAAAGACAATAAATAGCTTTATATAGGTTGGGTATTGCTGCCAAGTGAGTAACAGGAAAAAAAAACTTTCATTTTTCAGAGGATTTGCCTTTTGAAATTGCAGATAAAGGATTGTGAGTCTGTATCACAAAAACTGTTCAGTATTAGGTTCAGTATTTGCTTAGTTGCTTTATTTGTCAAAAATTGGCCTAGCATTACTATGACAGTGCAGTTGTCCTTTGACTAGCCATGGACGTGGCATTCTGGTTAAATCATCTCCCTTGTTTTGACTCTTAGTAGTGGTAATTGTCTCCAGCAAGCTGAAAGGGTGACCCGTGGAGCCATGGAGACTTAGGATTGCTAGATTAAATATAGGATGCCCAGGTAAATTTGAAATTAAGATAAATAGCAAACACATTTTAAGTGTAAACATGTCCCATACAATATTTGAATTTCATATAAAATTCAAATTTTACTGGGTGTCCTGCATTTTGTTTTAACTCTGGCACCTCTACCATGTTAAAAGCCATTTCAGCAAGTGGTTACTGATTCTTGTGGGGCCAGCCAAGGGAGTGTAAGGGAAGACTTTCTCATCTTGTATCACGTTTGCTCAGAAAGACCATATAAAGCAGGCTGGATGGTTAAGGAGAATGGAAATCTGGTTGTTTTGATTCTAGAATCCAAAAAATTAGGAATGACAAAGAATTCAGCTACAGGTATGGCATTTGCAATCCTGATGTGGGCCTTGATCATGGCAGAAGGCTAATCTAACAGGTGTTCTTAATTGACTGTCTTAAAGCCCTTAAGAATCTTGTCAGGTCATAGCCACATACCAATTATGTAGCCCCTGATTTGGGGGTTTCTTAATCTCTATCAAGGATTCCAGAAAGAAAACCGAAGAGAGTAAACTAGGAACTATCTCTATTTTTTTAAATATGGGGTGGGAAGTGGTGGGCGTTTGTTGAGAGCATAACTCTTTCTCTAAATGCCTCAGAAATTAAGAGGTGCCAAGAGGAAGTGCTGCTTTAAGAACCATCTGGCTCACCCAGGTGCAGGGCTGGGGAGGCTCAGAGCCTGCATCAAAAGTGGCTTCGGCTTCTGTAAACAGCGTCATTCCCAGCATTCCTTGCCAAGATGGGGCTTTATGTGTCCCAGAGAGAGTCAGCAGAAGCAGGTGGCAAATTTGACAGACTATGGAGAGGATGACATGATATCTGTTCATTCAGTGGGGTACACTCAGGGTCCCTCAAACTTTAGTGCCACCCTTTCTAATGACGTGTGAGGTGCTGGATCAAGAGCAGTGACCTGACTGAAACTGTTTCAGATCAAAGGAGACTAAAAGGACATGACAAGCAAATGCAGTATGTGTTCTTAGATCGAACTCTGGACCAGAAAAAAAAAAAGTTCCTATAAAGGACATTATTGAGACAATTGGTAAAATTTGAATATAGGTCATTTATTAGACAGTAGTTTTGTAATTGTTAAAGTTTCTGATCATAATTGTACCGTGGTTATGTAAGAGAATGCCTTTGTTCCTAGTTTTTAAGGGTAAAAGATTTCTTTATAGTTTCAAATGGCTCAGAAAAAAAAATACAGTCATGCATATCCACTTTAAAATGTGGCAAAAAGTTACGTATTAGTAAATCTCTGTAAAGAGTACAAAAGTTTATTATACTATTCTTGTAACTTTTCTATAAACTGTTTAAATAAAAGATAAAAGAATAACAGCATGACACCATCCAAAGATAGATGTTCCAAAGGGATAGCCATGGGAGAGGTGAGGATCCCTGACTCCCTGAATCAGGAGCTGCCCAAATTAGAACTTCACTGACTTTCAGTTTCAGGATTTGGTGTAGTGGTAAGAGCCCAGGCACCAGACTCAGTCAGCCCTGGCATTCCGCCGGGCACCGCATTGTTCTATTTAACCTTGCTGAGCCTTAGTTTCCTAATCTGTAAAATGGGGCACTGTAACTTACCTCACAGCCTTTCTGCTGAGATTGGAGGTGATGTTTGCAAGGCACCTTGCTGAGTGCCATGCAACAGATATTTCCCCAAAATTAAATATGTCTTTGTTTCCATAGAAAGACCATGACTTGATGGCTCCAGAGTCTTGTATTTTCATCAGGTGCAAGGAGCAGCAATCTGTCACCAAATCTGTGGACCAGAGACTCAGGCTCTGCCCCATTTGAAACATTCTTATTGCAAACCCCAGTGGAAAGCCTATTCAGCTGGCAACTTCAAGCAGTATTTCCAAGCATGATTCATTTCCTAGTGGCATAATCACTTTGAACAAAACTACGGCAAGCCTTTTCAAGAATGCTTTTGAAAATCTTTTCTTCCACAGCTGCCACACGGCATGAGAAGCAAGGTCAGGTTATAGGCTTAAAAGTTTTGAAAAGGATGGAATTAACTCTGGACTTTAACCTTCAGACAAATGACCTCACAAGACATGGGAAGTAAAAGTAAAGAGAAAAAAATGTCTGGAGCTGTGAGTGAATAGCAATGATGCTGAACTAGAAATCAAAAGACTTGAATTAGAATGCTGGCTCTGCCACTTAGTAGCTGGTGATTTTAAAGCAGTCCATTCCAAGCCTATTGCTTTATTTGTAAAATGGGGACACTGGTGTTCCATATAGTTGGTGGATTAATCAAGTGAGATAAAGTACAGTGCTGCATTGCTTCACAACAGGATATGTTCTGAGAAATGTGTGTAGGTGATTTCATCATGCTAACACCATTATGTGAACATTGTAGAGTGTATTTACACAGACCTAAATGGTACAGTATACTACACACCTACGCTCTATGGAATAGCCTATTGCTCCTAGGCTACAAACCTGTACGGCATGTTACTGTACTGAATACTATAGGCAATTATAACACAATGGTAAATATTTGTATGTCTAAACATATCTAAACATAGAAAAGGTACGATGAAAATCCAATATTATAATCTTATGTTACCACCATCATATATCAGTCCTTCACTGACCAAAATGTCCTTATGTGGCACGTGACTATACATGGAGACAATTGGTAAACTGTAAGGGGCTATGTAATGTACAGCCTAGCTACCCAGTGTAGTTCAGCATTGACATCACCAGGGATAAAACGAATAATGCAGACTCTCAGGCCCCACCCAGACCTAATGAATTAGAATTTACATTTTAACAACATGTAAATTGTCCGGAGCATTCATGAAAAGTTTGAGGACATACATGAAAGTTTGAGGAGCTCTGAGGTAAAACACCACCCTTGAGTTGATTCTTGAGGTGGCGCCTTTAAAGAGGCCTAAGGGGGCTTACTTAAAACCAGGCCCTTCAAGGCCTAGTGTTTTGCCTATTCAGACTATCGAGTGTATCTTGTGAGGGTTGGGCAAACCAGCCTAGTCTGTAGTGGATGTTAAAACACCCTGTGTCAAAGTAAGCACTTGCACTTAGACACAACTTCTGCCTCAGCACAGGTCTACGTGCATGGACGAAATCCTCTGTTCTACCTCCCCATCATCACTGTGGTGTACGACAATCAGCTATGAGTTTTGAGACACCTGTTACTCCCAAGTCCTGCTTTCTGTCTGGGTCTGGAGACCACCATGTCTATCATGAGACCATCCTAGTTTTGATGAGAAAGGAATGTAAAGACATAACCCAAGGTCACTTGCAAGTAAGAATTAGGACAGCCTGTCCGGTCTCCCTTTGCTGCCGGAAGTGGCAGATAGTAATGACCCTAAATGACCCTGCTCACCCTTGGGTAGGTTAAAGGAAAATATTCTGGGGCCTCTCGTAACTCCACAGTTTCTTGAATTTGCTCTACTTCGGGCCATCCCTTGGTTGGCTAAGGCAGACCCCTCAAAGGCAGGAATTGAGGGGACTTTATCTTCATTCCCAGCAGCCATGTACCACACTCAGTGCCTGGACATGGTAGATGGCTGCCTAATGAATGAATCTGATGAAGACTCCAGCACAGCACTTTATAGATATTAGGTGCTCAGTAAATGCCTGTTGTTTGATTAACTAGGTCAGGGTAACTTTCCTGTTAAGCACTTACAGGCACAAAGCCCAGAATAGAATCTATGAGCTTGTCAGGGCCTATGAAAATGTTTCAGACCTGAACATTAACAACAGAATGACTCCAGGATACAAAAAGGAAACTGCAAAGTAGATACTAAAATGTGTAATTAGCTGGATGTAAAATATAATATTATGCCAACTAGTCAAGTGCAAGTTGCCCCTTAAGAGTTCTGTGTAGATTATATTAAATTTTGAGATGTGGGCACATTTTAATATGTTAAATGTGGCATGAAGGAAGCCCCAAAAGTTAGTGTCTAGAGCTTAAGAAGGATTTAAAAGATCCCCAGTCAGAGGAGTCAGGTGAGGTGGTGTTTCTTCTCCCCTGCTGAGGAGTCTGAAGCAGGGCAGACGAGATGCTGCCTATCTGAGATAGACTCCAAGACAGAGGGAAAGAAACAGTGCAGCAAAAATCAGGAAAGTCAACATGTAGGAAAAATTACACGGTTTTCACCCTGTCCCCAGATGATTTTCCCCAATATATATTTTGTATGGTTTTGTGTAAAGAGAAAATTTTCTGCTTCTTGTCTTACTACCCTAGCATTGATTAATGGCATGCTCTATATCCTGTGCATTTCTATTTATTTCCTTAATCACAGGCGGTAGATGTTGGGGTGGGCTGAGTGTAGGGGGAAAGTGAAAATCAAATGTTCATCAGTTTTTCCCATTTTCCCATTCCCTTCAAGAAAATTTTTATTCTAAATTTTCATTACTCATGTAGATAATGTACAGAACTAAGTAGGAAACGTAATCCATTTGCTCTGTGAGGCCCGATTTAATTAACATTCCTGTGGACACAAATAAAGGGATCTATATCAGTTAGCTTTTCCTACATAACAATGCCCCCAAAAACTTAGTGGCTTAAAACAACCATCATTTATTTGGCTTACAGTTCTACAAGCCAGCAACCTGGACCAGATTCAGCAAGGTAGTCCTTCTGGTTTTGACTAGGTTCACTCATGCCTCTGTGCTCAGCTGCCAAGTGAATTGCAGGGATGGCTGGTCTCAGATGACCTCATTTGAGACTACTTAACTTTATCCACATGGTTTCACATGGTACAGCAGGCTAGCTCAAACTTATTCACGTGGAGGCTGAACAGGTGTCCCAGAGAATAAAGATGGAAATATATGAGACTTCTTGAGGTCCAACCTTAAAGCTTTCACACTGTCACTTCTACCATATTCTGTTGACCAAAGCAAGTCACAAGGCAAGCCTATATTCAAGGAATGGGAAAATAAACTTCACCTCTTGATGGGAAAGAATTTCAGAGTCACATTGTAAGGGGCATAAATACTATGAAGGGAAGAACTGCAGTCCTTTTTGCAGTCTACCAGAGTCAAACACAACGAAGGAAATACAGTCTTGAATGAAATGAGTAAATAATGTTTAAACTGCAGGGCAAAAAAAGAGAGGATGGGAATCAGAGGGTTCCCATGTTTAAATATAGTCAGATCAAAGCGGGAAAATGAGAGCCAGGGCCTGGTCATTCTGTTGGAGTTTCTAAATTTGGTTTTGATGGGAAAATAAATAACCACTTTAGAAAAAATAGGGTGTGCACACACAGGTGTGTGTATGTGGTTTCACCAAAAAACCAGGCTTCAAGAGTATGCAGAGTTATAACGTCAGATAAAAGTTAACCTTTGTGGTAGACACCATACACAGCTAAGTACAATTATAGCTGTTAAGCATCTTTTTCTTTGCATTGTAACCAAGGACAGCGTAGTTTAGTTTAAACAAAAACTGTTACGTCACGTGGCTAAAAAAGTGATGAGCAGAGGTGGTACTTTGAGGCAGAAGTACAACGGCAGCTGGCACACTGGGTGGTGATAATGAGGCATGCTACAGTGAGCAGCGGAGGGCTGGTTCAGGGTAGCATTTCTCCTGGTCTTGCCTCTGCTGCTAAGCAGCTCTGTGACATTGCCCAAGTCACTTTCCCTCTCTGGGCTTTGGTTACCTTCTCTACTGCGTAAGAGGGTGGGTTTGATCATCCCTATGACTCCTTCTACTAGTAAGACTAAATCGGTTGAATATCCCAGCACATGATGGCTTATCCCAAAAGATAGACAAGGACAGGCTGGGCTTGGTGGCTCAAGCCTGTAATCCCAGCACTTTGGGAGGCCAAGGTGGGCGGATCATGAGGTCAGGAGATCGAGACCATCCTGGCTAACACGGTGAAACTCCGTCTCTACTAAAAATACAAAAAATTAGCTGGGCATGGTGGCAGGCACCTGTAGTCCCAGCTACTCGGGAGGCTGAGGCAGGAGAATGGTGTGAACCTGGGAGGCGGAGCTTGCAGTGAGCCGAGATCACACCACTGTACTCCAGCCTGGGCGACAGAGCGAGACTCCGTCTCAAAAAAAAATAAATAAAATAAAATAAGACAAAGACAAAAGAGTATTTTTAGAAAAATTTTGATTTTGACTCCAGCTGAGTTTTCTTGGCCACAGGCCTTTCTGCCAAACGTACTTTTGCTGCTTTTCTTTGAGGTAAGAGAGTAATTAAGGAAATAAGAATCAAAAGGGACTCTAAAACGGCTTTACAAGGCTCTCCTTCCCAGGTTTTCCTAGTTGTATTTAAAGCTACATGGAGCTCCCTGCTGGATTCCAGAGATACAGGATCACAGTCTCATTTACATTCTTCTCCCACCACAACATATCCATGTTTCTTTACACAGTCATCTTGTTTCTTACATCTTTGCGTAAACTCTTCATCTCTGGTGGGCTTAGAACACTTTCTTCAGCTTGTCATTTTAATTCATGGATGTTTAATTCAAGTTTTCAGGTGGTACCCAAGAAGAATCCCCTGTACCTGGCACCAGTTGAAAACACGCCATTGTTTTGCTATTGTGCTTCTCCATTTGCCCATCATAATTTTATTTCTCCTTCTGTTTTTTGTAAAGTTAAAAATGTATTTACTCCCTGTCTCCATGCCTCTTTATGAAAGGTGAAGTACATTGCAGCATTGTTTGTAATAATGAAAAGTGGGGCATAATGCCCCGTAAATGCTCATAAAGAAAGAAATTATTTGATTTTAAAAAAAAAGTACCACTATTTAAGGGACTACTAAGGAGCAGTTAAAAAGAGCAAGGTTCATTGGTATTAACATGGAACGTTTTCCAAAACATATGGATAAATGAAAACCAATGCATGGTGTTACTTGTGTGAAGGCTTATCTTAGTGTAGACACGTATGTGTGTAAACAAGAAAACTCAGGAAGGTCACACAAATAGGTAGCAACAGTTTACTCTGGGCAGCAGAGTAGATGAGGGGTAGCAAGAGTGGTGAGAATTTTTGTCTTATCTGCATTACTTAGATTTTAAATGTTAAAAATATAATTATTTATGCCATTTAAAAATATTTTTAAATAGGATTTTTGTAAAGAGTGAGGTGGCGGTGGTTTATATCTACCTCTGGATTTAAGCAAATAAAAGGGAGAGAAAAAATTTCTTCCCCAGATTAATAACCCAGCATCCTATGCATGGAGGTGTGGTAATCTTTCTGATTATCTACCAGTGTGAGGGAAAATAATGCAACGAAGATTTCAGGAAATAACCATGTATTCCATCCTGGACAAGAACCATCTGAAAACCTCTGCATTTCAGGTCTTAATTACCCTGTCATTTCAGTTTTATTCTCAGAGCTAATTCTGAGAAGTGACAGATTTTCTCATATGCTGTGCAATTTAATTACAATTAACTCCTTACAATTTAATTACAGGAAAGTGCTATTTTTTCAGAATCTGAGCAACCAGAAAGTTAGCAGTTTTCCTCTATAGTCTGCTTTTTGAAAGTGAGACAAATAAGAGACTGAATCAGGGAACTCTTCCAAAAACACCTTTCAAGCCTCTGTCATAGGGTCAGTCCAGATGAAGCTTAATTTCTTACACCTTCAGCAATTATAGTACTGTGTGCTGATAACTGATGTTTCTAACAATGGCAGTGAGATAGCGCATGCGAACTTTGAAATTTCAAAGAAAGATAAAATTGTAGTTGGTGTCTGGTGTTGCTGTCTGTGTTTTTGAAAATTATAATTCATATGCCACGTATTTAGTGTCTCTCAGATACTCAGAAAACTCAGCAATAGCATTTCTGAACCAAGAGATGTAAGAGGCAAGACTTGTGCAGAATGTTTCCAGGTAGCAAACGTGGACAAGCCACATTTTAAGCACTCAGTCGTCACATGTGCCTAGTGGCTACCATACTGGAAAGCACAGTTCTAAAGCATTCTGACAGGAAGTCTTCTTGACCACTGGGCTATTAGAGATTGCATGGTGCTTCAGGGTCAGAGGAGGGTGTAGCTTGCCCTGCAGCCAGCTATGTCTTTCTCATCCTTCTGTTTGGGCTCCTCTATTTAGTCACCAGCTCCAAGACAGCAGGAAGAGGCAGCATATATCCCCCTGCAGGGCATGTCATGTTCCAGCCATTTCTATTGCTCAGCTCTTGACACTACCTTCAGTCTCTGTCAGAGAGGTGGAATCATGCTGGATTCTGCAGGGTTAGCCCTTTCCTCCACCTTCACACCCTCTGTTGAAAGTCTCATACTTCCCAGAGTCCTAAGTAATTTATACATAGAAAGGGCCGTTTGTTCAAGGGGCTAGCAGTGCTTAGGCCTCCCACCTGGGGGCCTACCTCTCTCAGGCAAACTAGTTTCTAAGCACCAACAACAGATTCTCCTTGTTCCTTCAGTCTGTCTTCAAATGGCCACCTTCACTACACAATGGCTGACATTCCTACCTTGTCCTCTTTGCATAGGATAGGAGCCTGAAAGGTCACAGCCAGCACATCCCTGGAAATGATGAATCCCAGCTCCCATGGCTGCTGTGACTAAGAACTGTTTGGTGATCAGCCAGCTGTTTTGAGTTTACCTCTTCCAAAAAACGGCTTTCTTCTCTTCTTTGCATATTATTTTTCTGAATTGCTGCCTCTGTTGTTCAAACCATCCCGGATTAATGACAAAACACTATCTTATTCAAACCAAGAATTATCTACAACCCTCCTTCTCAACTAGTTTTTGCAAGATCATTTCAGTTTTTCTTTTTGTGCTACATCCTGGATTAATTCTTCAGTTTTGTCTTCTCTTGAATCACTACCTAAGGCTTATTCCATGTTTCAAGTTTTTTGTTTTTTGTTTTTTTTTACTTTGATGAGTATGTTTACCAACGCTTTCTTATTTATTTGTTCTTGCCTCATTTTGGCATTCTTTGTTTTATAATTTCTTTTTTCAAGTGGAAGATATTTCTTCATTTATCTTTTGAGCATCATAAATTTGTTTTAAAATCCTTGCTGAATTGTTTTGTAAAATATATTTCATCTACAGTGCTGTGCAATAAAATAAATTATATCTGCACTGTCCAATATGGTGGC
The DNA here is from genome assembly GCF_000001405.40 of Homo sapiens. Classification (NCBI taxonomy): domain Eukaryota; kingdom Metazoa; phylum Chordata; class Mammalia; order Primates; family Hominidae; genus Homo; species Homo sapiens. The sequence continues at coordinate 133,285,166 of NC_000003.12, forward strand.
TATTGAGCCCTTGAATTTCATTTGATTTTAATTAATTTTTATTTAAATGTAAATCATCCATAAGGCTAGTGGCTACCATATTAAATAACACAGACGCAGAATAAATTTTAAAAGCAATCGCTGATTTTGTTAGTATTAGGTTTCCTCTTGTGTTTTAGAATTTTGATTTTCAAGCTCATTTTAAGTGGAAGATAATTTATTTTTTCTGTGGCTGGGGGAAGCGGAGTTGGGAAGGAAGTCCACCCTTCCTATTTAGTGGTTTTCAGTATTCTCCACTGGGACAGCAGTCTAGAATTATGTCTTTAAATGGTGTTTTGAAGCTCTTGCCTCAGAGAGACGTTGTTAATATTGAAGCACGCACAGGCAGCTTGGTTCAGTTTCTGATCAGACCGTGTCTTTGTTCTTCTTTTGTAGACCTACCACTTGCTAAAAGCTATAGCCCCTAGCAGTAGCAAGCAATGGCACATTTTTTTACTCTACTTTTTCAAGCAAAAGAGCCCTATCTTAGCCCCAAACATGAGGCCATGAGCCTAATCCCGATCCCCTAGTTTTTATGAGTCACTTTAGTCCCTTTTTCCTGCAAGAGCTAGACCACCATCACTGCCTGCCTGCCTCCAGACTGGGCGCCCAGCTGCTTCAGCCCCCATCACTGCTTTGCCTTTCTGTTCGTTCTGGCCCTTGGATATGTTTATCTTGTTTTGCAGTCCAGTCATATCTTTTTAGTTTTCTATTTTTGTATTATAACTGGCATTGCTATGTGTTTGAGGTGGAGGGGGCACCTCATGACATGAACTTACGAAGCTATCTTGACCCAATGGTGTCCCCTCCAATAATATTTCCAGTTATAGCACACACATGAAGACTTTCACAACTACCTCATCATTCCCTAAGCATTTGGTCACTTGTGTGACAGAACACAATAGGTTTTCCGTAAATGTGCGTTGAATTAATAAATGAAATATCAAACATCAAGACAAACATTACCTCCAGAGTGGAACCCCATAAATTTTCAATAAACTCCTTCTATAGTATCTCAATGGGATGATGTAAAGTGATAAAACTCTCTTCTTCTGAGCCACACAAACCTGTAGAAATAGAACAAACACATAATTGGGAGAAGCAGCAAAGAATCTGTGGTCATCTCTAATTTACCACACCCAGCTTTTATTTATTTATTTTTTTTTTAGAAACAAGGTCTCACTCTGCTGCTCAGGCTGGTGTAGAGTGGTGTCTTCATAGCTCACTGTAACCTTGAACTCCTGGGCCCAAGGGACCCTCCCACCTCAGCCTCCCAAGTAGCCAGGACTACAGGCACATGCCATCACACTCAGCTAATTAAAAATTTTTTTTTGTAGAGATGGGACTCTCACTATGTTGCCTAGGCAGGCCTCAAACTCCTAGGCTCAAGCAATCTTCCCGCCTTGGCCTCCCAGATTGCTGGTATTACAGCTATGAGCCACTGCACCAGGCCCATACTCAGCTTTTCAACAATTCTGAAAATTCTCAAATGTGATTTACATGTTCCTACCTCTATGAACCTTGGGCTACATAGTATAATAGCAAGGGGAACAAAACAGTAGTGAAATATCTGGGCCGTTGGCCACTAAATGGTCCTGAGCACACCTGTATATCCACTGAACACTGACATAGATCCTATCTCTAGATCCCCACTGCCTTAGTAACTAAAAAAACTTCTCTTATCAGGAAAGCAGAAAACAGACCAATATGAGTTGGATTGGTTTGATTTTTTTAGGTAGTCTCTTTCTGCTATCTGCTTCTCTAACCCTATTTTCTTAGATTTGCAACTAGTTTATACCCACATTTGAGTATTCTCTATTTTTCCGCTTCCAACAGTTGAATCCCGTGCTCTTCTTTGCTGTAAAAACAGGCAGGGAGCTTGGACAAGTAGGAGGCTCAGGTCCCTCAAAGACCTGCCTTGGTGCTACTAGAATTGAGGCTGTGGCTGGCTGGCAAGATGGTTTTTGGTATTCTTAATAACTCACCTGCTCCAGACATTTTTATATAGTGAGGTTTAGGGCTAATGAGCAGATCACTTATAAAGAATATGGATTAAAATTCTTCCCAAACCTTACTTATAAAACCTTTTAAAAAAAGGATCAAGGTTGAGTATATCTATGGGTATGAGTGACCTCAGTTAATGATTCTATTAACCCAGTAAAAACTGGGTTTAAACAAAGCACCATGGATTAGTCAAGTATCTAATGCAGTATATCATGCGTATCTACTCCCTGAACAAGCTACTGACAAATGTGATTTTATTGAATCCCAACCCTCTCTTCTGTAGGTTGTCCTGGAGGTTAATAGAGTTACTTCTAGCCAGTTCATTCTGTTTGCCAAAAAATGTTTTTGCTTGCTCCTTTGTATGGGATTGTCAGTTGTCTCTGGGAGGTGCTAGATAGAAATTACAATATAATGATGGTAGATGATAAAATGAACACTGAGAGAAGATATGTTGATAAGATTTCAAAACATCTTCTAAGATATACTTATCACCTAAAACAAATAGATGTTTGCTATAGATGGTTTAATTTTAAAATTTGCTCTTAAACTAAATAAAACCAAAAAAGTTTTTAGTTAGGGCCTCTTTTAGATTGGTTACCAAACACTCTCAAAATAAAAATATATAGATCAATAATTTGTTTAACTTTGTTGAACACAGATAATCACTTAGGTTCAAGAGCAAGCAAATTCAGAAGCACTGAATGGAGAATTTTGCTGCTGTAGCATAAAAATCAAAGATATACTTTATGTTCCCAACGTCATCCCTTGCTCACTGGGAGCCTTAGGCTGGGTTCAGCATGATGGACCTGGAGATCCCAAAAGAGGGACAATTTCAGTTGCATTTTAATCAAGCCCCAGGATAGAAGGGAGAATTATGTGAAATTGTTAATAAAAAAGAGCATTTGTTTCTTGCCCGCATGGTCATTTATACACCTCATGCCTGAACAACTAGATAAATTAGTAGCTCCACCTTCCTCACAATCAAATGTGTATGCAGGACAGTTTCAGGAAAGTTCAACCTCCTGCCCTAAACTGATTTTTCCTAATACTTCTGAATTTGTGCTATAACAGATAAGCAGCATTCTGATGCAGTTAATTAAGTAAAACCTCACTGCATCCAAAGCAGCAGGAGTTAAGATAGATGGATGTGGCCTTAAGCTTTCCCTCACCCAAAGAATATTTCTACCCAGAACAAAGAAATCAGACCAAGCTTGATGTGACTTGGTTGTTTATATGTATTCTTTAAATCGGATGCCTTTAGAACATAATGTGTTCTCCATGGGGGGGTGAATAGAAGTTCCTTGTGGAGAGAATGTTTGCTCAAATACGCTAGTGGTACGTGCATTTGCAGCAGTCCTGTTCCCTGTGATCATGGGTGTACCTTTATGTTGTGGAAAATCACATGAAACACTCCACCTCCTACCTGTCTGATGATGCTTCCCTGCAGAGGAGGCATTGAGTGTTTATATATAATACCTAACACTTTAGGATGCTCAGCACTGTGCTTAATGCTTTATGTATATTAATTCATTAAGAGGTATTTTTACATATAATAATTTGGGGGTTTTTTGAGATGGAATCTTGCTCTGTCATCCAGGCTGGAGTGCAGTGGTGCAATCTCAGCTCTCTGTCCTCCATCTCCTGTTTAAGCAATTTTCCTGTCTCAGCCTCCCAACTAGCTGGGACTACGGGTGTGTGCCACCACACCTGGCTAATTTTTGTGTTTTTAGTAGAGATGGGGTTTCACCATGTTGGCCAGGCTGGTCTCAAACTCCTGACCTCAAGTGATCTGCTTGCCTCGGCCTCCCAAAGTGCTGGGATTACAGCCATGAGGCACCATGTGAGTCCCCATATAGTAATAGTAATTTTTACATATTTTAAATATAGAAATATTTCCAGATGAGATCTGGAATTTATGTCCTAACTATGGGGAGTGGAGCATAGAAGTATGTTTGGAACAGGGTTGGCCATGATTTAATGGTTCTTGGGGCTTGGGGATGGGATTTGGGGGTCCATCATTTTATCCTGCACACTTTTATGTACGTTTGAAATTTCTCCATAATAAAAAGAATAACCAAAACTTTGAGGTAGATATTATTCTTGTCACTTTCTTATAGATGGGAAAATTTGCCCAAGTTCACACAATTTCAGAGAATCTGCATTCAGCCACTGTACTCAAGGTTATGAAACAGCACCAAAGTGCCCTAGGGTACTACAGTGAACTGACTGTGGATGGAAGCACAGCAGTACTCGACATCAGTCAGACACCACGTGAACTACCATACTAGCTCAAATTCACAGTTTCCACATTAGATCTCACTACCTTCCTTTTGATGATGTCATTTCTTTGGCAAGCTGGGTTTTCAGCACTTGTCATTGAGGGCAAGCACCATGTGAAAATCAATGTGGAACAGGAACTGTGGGTAATGGTGTGCAATCCGACTGTGAGGTTTGAAAAGTAGTGTAGTGCCCTTTAGGTATACATATCCCATTAGGAAGTAAGGGCAGATTTAAGAATGAAATCATTTTTCTCTCACTTTATATGTAATTTTTTTCAAACGGCTACTAAGTTGTTAGGCTATAAATTTTTAAGTTTTTTGGACCTAACCAAGGGCCACTCGAATCAAAAACATTTGGGAATCCCTGCATTACGTTATGCCACCTAAGATGTGGAAGCTAAAACATGGACCATCCAAGTATTTGTTCCCTAAGCTGGCTCACCCCCCTCATTAGAAGCAATGTGTGTTTATTCACATATCCATTCAACCAATACATGTTGAACACTTACTATGTTCCAAGCACTGTGCAGATGGGGGCATATAGCAGTGAACAAGACAGCAGAGTCCCTGCCCCGATGAGTCTGCTGGGAGGAAAGACAGACAATAAACAGGATTAACAGTAAGCATGCATCCTATTAGATTGTGGTAAGTGCTAAGAAGAGGGGGACAGAGCAGGCTAGGGGATAGGAAATGTGGAGGGCAGGGAGGAGGTGAAATTCTAGACAAGGTGACCAGGGAAGGCGTCCCTAAGCTGACAATTTGGTAAAGACCTGAAAGAGGTGAGAGAACTATCAACCACTTAGCTATCTCTCTCTTTTTTGTTTTCTAACCCTTTTCTATGAGACTTAGTTCTTCTCTTCATAAGCTGATTCAGCCAGGTGCAGTGACTTACGCCTGTAATCCCAGCATTTTGGGAGCCCAAGCTGAGTGGATCATCTCAGGTCAGGAGTTTGAGACCAGACTAGCCAACATGACAAAACCCCAGCTCTACTAAAAATACAAAACTTAGCTGGGCATGGTGGTGCACTCCTGTAATTCCAGCTACTGGGAAGGCTGAGGCAGGAGAATCACTTGAACCCAGAAGGCAGAGGTTGCAGTGAGCCAAGTTAGTGCCACTACATTCCAGCCTGAGCAACAGAGTGAAACTGCATCTGAAAAAAAAAACAAAACAAACAAATAAACAAAAAAACCGATTCAGAAACAGAACCCTGAAGTTAAATTATACAACAAATAGGAAACTGACAGGAACTAGCCTGCATCAGATAGAGTGATTAATGAAAAAGCAAAAGAAAATGGCGTGTAACTTTTTTTCTTCTCTGTGGATTACCTTCACTTTTTCCAGTGGAACCTGAACTTTGGAGCATGAGGGAACAAAGGTAATAAAAATCACACCAGCTCAGCCCTATACCTCATTTGCAATGAGAAATGAAGAAGGGCCCAGAGATTTTATGCAAATAAGTCATGTTATGATTTCAGATGGTAAATGACACTAACTAAAATGGTGAGATGTTTTAAATGGGATCAACACTGTGTTAACACCAGCTGCTCATATAATAATATTTTGCTTTTGTATGGAGATATTTTGTGAAGATGGGAGCAAAGGGCCATAAGGAGAATTTTTTAATCAAGCCATGTATAACATACAGAGGTCAATCCCAGAAATGTTGTTCTAATAGCAATTTAGAACCATCAATCAAAACAAGCAGTGGGTTGTTTTCTTTCTGTCACCCTATAAAGCCCATATAAATGGAAATACCAGAAGAAAAAACAAGTTTAAATTACCACCGTGGAGTTTTTTTTTTTCTGTTGTTGTCGTTTGTTTGTCTATTTTTGAGACAGGATCTCATTCTGTTGCCCAGGCTGGAGGGCAGTAGCACCATCACAGCTTACTGCAGCCTCAACCTCCCAGGCTCAAGCAGTTCTCCCATCTCAGCCTCCCGTGTAGCTGGGCTCATAAGCATGTACCACCACACCCAGCTAATTTTATTTTTTGTAGAGACACGGTCTCCCTGTGTTGTCCAGGCTGGTCTCAAACTCCTGGGCTCAAATGATCCTCCCACCTGGGGCTCCCAAAGTGCTGGGATTACAGGCGTGAGCCAGCACACCAGGCCTACCAGTGAGTTTTTTTTAATGGGACAGCAGCAACCTTCATGGAGCTATGGAATTTCTCTGAGCCTCATCCAAGAGAGAGGTGGAATTTTTATTATTATTATTATAAGCCCCTTAGATGTCCTATGTCCCTGAACTTGTCCTTAATGAAGCCATCAAACTCATTATATTACGCTGCCTAAGATGCAGAAGGCAGGGTTCCTCAAGGTACCTGGAGCCGTTTCAACTCCTTTCCCATCTATCTCGGCCTTTCTCAGCTCCAGACTCTTGACAAAGTACAGACATACACGATCTCTCTACTGCCTTCCTCCCTTCCCAAAACATTCAGAGTTAATCCCACTGTAAGTCATGTCTTGTTGAAAATCATTTGGCTGAGCAGGATCTGCAGTGGTTCCCAACCCTGACTGCACATCTGAATACATCCCCTCAGGAGCTTGATAACAAGAGAAATCTAGATTTAGTACATTTGGGATGAGGCCCATGAATTTGTATTCTTAAGAAGTGCCTCAGATGATTCTGTTAGAAAACACTTTGTGGGAACCTTGATGGTTGCGTAGAAGTTTACCAGATTGGTAAAGGGAAGAAGAGAATGTTTTTTTTATACATGGGATATAAAATGCCATGTGTGCAAGTATGGATAAGGAAATATGTGTGGCAAGTTCAAGGTTTTCAAACTGTGCTCCAAAAAACTGCTCAGGTAGGACAGAAGTTGTTTTATAAATATCAAGGTTCTTCATAAGATTTCTTCAAATAAAGGTTTCACTGCTAAGCTCCCCTCCAGTTCCATTGTTTTTACCTCACAAAGTGATGGTTTCCTTGCCCAGTCCTCATTAGGCCCATTGCCAGGGTTTCGGTTGATCTCAGGCTCTCCTTTGATCCTACCATTGTCTGCCTCTTGCTTGCTGTTAGCTTTGGCACTGATTGTCATCATAAGAGAAATAAACAACATGCGTGGAACTTGGAATTCTGCTGCTTATAAAATGTGTCAGGCATGAACAGCCCACCCAAGTGTTCTGCAATTAGGTGGTAGGCACGTGTGGTTTTGTTTCAGAGCCTGCCTGCTATGGGGACCCTGGAGACAGTTTTTATAAAGTTTTTTTTAAAGCATCTGTTTCAAACTCTAAAGCACCAAAGCCCTCTCCTTTTCTCAGAGACACAGATGCCTTAGCCACAACTCCCCTGCTGTAAAATTCTGAACTTAGCAGTTTGATCAAGCAAAGCTTTGTAGAGAGCTCTGGGCTTGAGATAGAGGATGCTTGGCTTCCAGTTCTATTTCATATGCCACTTGCTTACACCAACTTAAGCCAAATAACTGGCCAAATGAGACATTCTCTAGGTCATAGTTTCCCTATCTATAAAGTTGGTATACTAGCATGCTTTTATTTCTGAGACCAGGAATAACAAGTGATGTCTTAGGTGAATGGAGCTTTGAGAGAAAAGAGTAACATTCTATAAACATAATATTCTTAAGAACAATAGGGAACAGAATTGTGCATAATTTAACCTTGTAAGACAAGTTGCTTTTTCTGAGACACAAAGAGGAATTAGTTTACCAGTAAATACCTTTTAGGAAATGTTAATTCTCATTGATAGAGTATTCATTTAAACCATCTGCCATTCATCAAAGGATCCAGCCTCCAACTTTCTTCAACACTGAGTCCACAGATGAATCAATCATGCCTACCTTTGAATTCTCATCAAATTTAGCACTTCTCTCCATGAAAGCCTTTATCACACTCCTCAAGGGTAGAAACCTTCTTCTTTGTATCTGTTCCCAAGCCTAACACAGAGCCTGGCACATAGTAAGCCCTTGACAAGTGTTGGCTTACTATGTGCCAGGTTCTATGTTAGGCTTGGGAATTAAATTGTTGGCTATTAAATGAATGAGGTTTGGACACTGTCCAGTATTGAATTAGATGCACTCAAGACCAAAGATTAATAATAAAATACACATTCCTGGATTCGAGTGGATCTTAAGGATTCATCTCACCAACTTCCTGCCTTATGCCAGTGCCAACTTTCAAGCATAACTAGGACCCTTTATTTTTAGTTCCTTCCTAAGACGGATGTTGAGTGGTTTTGCTGGCTAACTCGTCAAGCATGAGCATTCTTTGTGCAGCTTAAGTCCATTTTCTTTTTCTCCACTTACATGAAATTGAAGTAGAACATGCCTACATCTTGTGTGTGAGGGTTTTTTTTTAACATATTGAAGATTCCTCTTATCTCACAGTGTCTTGTCTAGTTCAGATTGGAAGCAGAGACCATCACCTCAATTAGAGTATAACAGAAGAGTTAAGAGGTTGTCAACTTGAATTTTAAAATTGCATCCAGTGGCAGCTGGCAACATAGAAATCAGCTTCCGTACACCAAGGGGAGATGTTGCAAACTGGAACACTGCCATCCTTTGCCAAAGATAGACCAGGCTACTGTGCAGAAAGTCTCAGATTTGTTATGACTGAATATTAATGTACCACTCTCTGTAAGTGTTTGGTCCTCTTTGCCTTATTTGATGTGATTTGAATGAATTTAATTTACTAGAAGTGCTTTTCTGGGTAATAAGCATTTATATTTTTCATCCTTATAAAAAATGCACGGCATCTTCAGGCAGAAAATAAGTGATAGTGTTAAATATAAGGAAGAAAGCTTTATTGTACAGTAGAAATCTTCCAACCTTAGGGTTATTTTGAGCTGATAGCAACATGGCACTAAAATTCTCAGAACTTCTCAGAAGAATTAGGTAATAAAAAGTGAAGCCACCATTTTTGTGTTATTTACTTTTTAAAAAATGCAATTTAGGGTTGAGAAGCTAAAGAAAACTATGAGAATACAAAAACACACAGCCTTATGTCCCAGAGCCATCACCTCATGATGACTCATCTCAGGATGTTTTCTCTACTTCCTTCAAATATGATTCTTTCCGGATAATTTAATTTAAATACCAATATAATGATTATTTCTGGAGATGGGGGATTTGCCTCCTATGATAATTCTCTTATCTGCAGAAGGATAGAATCAATTTAATTCCCAAGTAGCAATATTGAGATGTATTTTTATTGGTTTGCTTAATTATTTTTTAAACTTCTGTAACTACTGATGGAAACTAATTAAAACTAAATGCACATTAGCTTTTATTAAATGGCTGCTACTGAGATGGTGAAGTTCAGGAAATTGTAGGCCAGCACATTCCCTTTAATAATGTTGGCTGATTCACAATTGGGGTAATTTCAGATTTATGAGATTTAAAGCATCCATATGTCCTATTTCCTGAAGAATTTTTAATAAAGAAATTAATGTATGTGCCATTTCAATCTAATGAGAACAGAACCACTAACTGAATAATGTACATTCTTTGCCTGAAATCAAATTTCACCAACCTGGGAGTGTTACAGTGGAGAAAAGTACTTGGGGTTTATCTATCAAGTAAACGGAAGTCTTTCACCACTGATTTATGAAGTATCCCCTCCCCACTAGGTACTTTTGTAACAACAAATTATGGTAAAATGATGAATTTAAATAAAATTTGAGATGCTGCAGTCACATATTATTAACATTTAGATCATAAGCACTTTTTTAAATGTTTATTTCATTAAAAGGGCAAGTTTGGAGATTGACATCAGTTATCCAAATTTTTTTATGCAGAAACTAGAAAAAGTTTGCCCGGAACCCTGAGAACCATAGCATTTGAGATCTGGAAGGAGGCTTTGAGCAAAGCTTTTCTGGAGGGAGGGATGGAGAAGTAAGGAGAGCAAGGAGCTGAGAACCTAGAGCTTTAGCTTCCCTGCTCACCATCGTCTAGCATGTGGTGGTAGGCCCATTAGGGAACTCCTGGGCCCACTGTTTCATTCTCTGTAATTGGAGAGGCTGATGACTCATATGCCTACCTGGCAAGTAGTCAGCATGAAATGAAACATCCTGAGAGCATTTTGTGAACTATAAAGCCCCTTGTCAGGTTGAGTTGTTATTATTGTTATCTAGAAAGGCCCTCCTTACTTTTCAGAAGAGCAGAAGTGTGCAGTGACTTGCCCAAAAGCATTATTTGGTAAAACCAGGCTTGGAATCCAAGATGTTCCAACCTCCAGTCCAGATTCTTCCTGATCCTGTGGGACATTGAGAGAGCCAGGAGGGAGATAGTGAGTGCAATGTTAAGGCCACCACTGGCTTCTGGGCAACTTGGTTACATTACTTTGCCTTGTAATTTCATGGGAAAACGTAATTACAGGCCAGAAGTTATGATGTTGGATAAGCAACATCAGCATTGCAGCTGGGCCCGCTGAAGAAAAGAAAACCCACATGTTGGTGGGGTACACAGTTCACCAAGGCCCCCTGAATGAAAATAATTTGTTGCCAAAAAACGGTAACAGGACTGTCTATTGGGGAACAACCTCTCTTACTAACATGAAAGAGCTGGACGGATAACTTTAAAACTGAGAAGGGCTCTTGTCCAAATTGACTATTTTCCCCCCAAAAAAAGTATCCTTGTCTTGTTTTCATTCCTGCTGTTTCTAGCATGTCTAATGTCTGAGTGCATATCTACCCTTAATGTCTAGTTCAAACATTAGGAAAAGCACCCCCCTTTTTTTGTTTTGGTTTTCTCTTAGTCATGTTTAAGTTTTCTAAAGAATTTTCCTATATATCAAAGGCAGGCAAAAAACAAAGCAGAAGTAATAGAAGAATCGTTAAAGCTGTCAAATTGGTGGAGCCAAGATTTAAATCTCGGAGTATCTGCCCCCAGAGCCCTTGCTTTTTTGAGTTCATTAAATGCAGAATAACATTTGCATTCTTAAAACAGGAATTACACACACACCAGAGTCAAGGGGCTTAGAACCCTCATGGGGATTTATATTTATGCACAAAGAAATCACATGTTTTTCCCTGTGTTCCCAGACCCGAAATATCAACTAGCCAGGCTAACGAAGTATCACATAAGTATTAAGCTATTAATACCAGGTTGCTAGGCTGCCAAAAAAAAAAACACACACTAATAAAAAGCAGTAGTCTGATGTCTTCATTGAGCCTTATATTTGTCCAGATCTCTGTCCCAGTCCTTGTAGGGAGATGGACAGGCTGGAAAAGGAACATCCCTAATCCAAAGCAACCCGTGTGTCAGTGAGTGGTAGAGTAGGACAGGGGGGACTTGGGGGCTGTTGATGGACAGTGGGGCTGAGAGCTGGCATAGAAGGATTAGGAGCACACATAGAGGGAGTGTCCAGCATGACTGTCAGAAATTAGGTTAGAATGCAAAGCATGTCTAGCTAATTCTCAAGTATAGAATCTCTGCAGACAATTTTCTCATCAGGTAGAAGGAAGAATAGAGGGTACTAGCCAGTGAGAATGATAGCCCCCCTAGTGATATCAACTATCCCCACTTTCTTAATGGTTGGGGGGATGGTGGTGGTCTAGTCCCCAGATAACCAGTCAAGACAATAGAACAAGGCCCAGGTCTGAGCTTAAATTCTCAGATCCTCTTGGTCTCTGAAGGAGGTCCGAACAATATCAGGCTAACAGTAGCTTTTTCTTAAATGCATGCAGATACGCTAATAATGCTCATTAGGCTTATAGCTCACGCAAATTTAATTCAGAGTATTTCATTTGTGTCTTCGCTGTAGTTGCCAGGACAGATGTGTGCGTGGCTGAGGCACACTTCCCTCTGCCTGAGACAGATGTCAGGGTATTGGACCATGCTGACACAGCACCAGCATGTTTATTAGCAAAAATAGATTGTCAGCCTTCTTTCCCCCAACTGAGGGTTTTCATTTTTGTAGTTAAAATGCAAATCCCAGCTCAGAAAAAGAGACAGATTTTAAGAGATGTAGAGGAAGATGGACGAAGTACAGTGAAAGAAGAGAAGAAAATAGAAAGTGATTGAAAGAAGAAAGAGGGAAAGCTTCAGGCTCGTCGCTTCCTCTCACTAAACATGATCTAGATGATTTCTGATTCTCACACATAACTGAGATTTACCTGGGGGTGGGGGGAGACTAAAAATGCAGAATCCTGGGCCCCACCCCAGAACTGCTACTTCATAAGGCCAGGGAACTTTAAGTTCCCTGGGAGATTCTCAGTCACTTCAGCAGTAGGCTATGGGTCAGTCTTGAGAGCCAGTGGGCTGAGGCAATCTCTGAGGTTTCTTTCTAGTCTTAAGAACTGTAAGAAGAGAGCAAAAGGAGTGGTGGGGACCACATGAACACAGAGGGCGCACACTGCTGTATTCATGTTGCTTTACACTGCAGAACAAGCACCCCTCCAGGCGAAAGCTGATAAGATACTGAGATCAGAGAATGAGGAAAGGAAGGAATGTTTGGCCTTGACATTGGTAGTTTGTGTTGATGTTGGTATTGACACCTCTTTCCCATTATTGGAGATACTTATTTCACTAAATGTGCACAAGTCCCTGACAAATGAGAGTAATGCATCCCTACCTTGTAAGTCTCAGATGCTTTGATCTCTTTGTCCAGCCATCTAATCTGCCAGGATGCTCTGAGCTCCTGCCCTCCCCTGATGAGCCACGCTACTGGAGAGAATTGGAGCAGGTAGCAAGGAGGTGGCAGCCCCACTGACTTTAGACTGTCTTCCTGGCTTCTGGCTGATGAAACCTCTCTCTTCATCTGTCTTTCTCTTTGAAGATAGTTTTTATTAGTAGGATTCTATTAACTCTCTGGGTAGAGCAGACAACCCTCCCAGCTCTGCCAGAAGGACCAAGTGATTTGTTTCAATCAGAGGCCCAAGAAGAATGTTTCTTCCAGCGCCTTCCTCTTCTAACCCTCTCCAAGCCTCCTCAAAACTTCTTTGACTTACAAAAGCAATACAGAATGTCTGGAAAGCAGAAGATCCTCTCAACCCAATACAACTATGTTTATTTCATCTAGTCCCCTGGTGAATTTTCATATTCGTATTTTACCTAGAGTGCTTGTGATTTTATGGGACTTTTTTCTTGTTTCTTGATAATCATTTGTAAAAGCTGTAAAATTCTTCTTCTAGAACAGGTACCACTTTGTTTATCAAATGCTTGCATAGTGCTTCCTGTGTATCAGGTACATAAATATTATAATAAATATTAATGCAGTTCATTCTCATAATATTTATAAATTCGTTTCACACTCAACCATATTATGCCCATGTTACAGGTGAGGAAACCAAGGCTGAGAGGTTAGGCTACCTGCCCAAGGACACAGAGTTGTGAGTGACAGAGATGGGCGTGTGCTCAGCTGTGCTCATAACCACTATGCTATGCTGGCATTTTATTTAACCACCTTTCTACTGTTTAATATTTAAACTGCTTATAGTTTTTTATAATTATAAAAAACTACAAAGACCATCGGCTGCCTGTGGCATTTTATTCTTCTGGATTATTTGTTTAGGATAGGTTTTCCAAGAGATCTGCCTGCCACACTTGCTGTTTTGAGCTGACAGACAGGGGTGACAGTCTTACATGAATTCCCATTGGGGAAATCTGAACTGTGGGGAGAAGGAACACTTTTTCATGAGTTTGTTAGTGCTTGATTCATGGCCAGTGTAATCTAGGAACAATAAGGGGAAACTATATAAAGCTCACAGTTTAGTGAAAATGAAGGCTTCAGATGTTGGATGATACCTTGCAGCCAGCTAGTGCTCAATTACTGTCTCCTGGTTGACTTGGCAGCCGTAAAGCCACTCTTCAAATAAGAAAAACTGTTTTTATTTATTTCAGTAGGGAAATAAAAACAGAATAGCTCTTTAGTGGCAGATAGATTAACCAACAGTTGAGCTTAGTCTTTCTCCTTCAACCTTGATGTTTTGACATCCTGTAGACAGAAGTTTGGTTTGGAGGTCAAGCCGTGTTCTCTAGAATTTCTGTATAGACGGGGTTGGAGTTGGCAGTCCCTTTGGAAGGAGGTGCTAAGGGGACTTGTTGTGAAGCCGTGTTTGCATGGCAAGCATAGGTTTTCCCTTCTGCAGTACGTTTATATAGAAGATGACTTGGAGCAGAGGAGCTCATGAAGATTATGCCCTCATCATGCTTAAGGTTTTCCAGCTGATGTTGGGCCAAAATTGTCACAGGTCCTGATATCTCACAGGGCATTTCTTTATGTTTTCTCATATATGGCACAGGCCCACTGTTCTTCTTTGCTTAGAATGATATCATAATATCAAAAACTGAAGACAATTTCCATTTGGGAGAGCCAGGCCATCATACGTCTTCAACCCAACACACACACACTCTTCTGGCAGAGGGACGTTCTTCTCCTGGACCATCCCAGTTTTAACAATCATACATCTGTTCCCCATTCTTCCCAATTATAAATGTAATTACCATATCCCATTAGCACATTTTATTAAAACAGTCTTCCTATCACATAGAAGTGATAAATCTGAAAATCAGAGTGGAGAAAAGTGGAATGTCAGAGTAAGAAGAAATAGAAACAGCTGATTTCTACCCCTAAGTGTTCAGGTAAATTGCAGTGAGCCAAAGAGGCCTCAATGAAGTGTGTTAATGGCATAGTTAGAATCGGTAGACTACTTCATTGGTCCACACCTTCCCTTACTCCATAGCTCACTGTATCATTTATCAAGCATTGAAAGCCTCCAAAATGTTTGTTTAAATAAGCAAGAATACCCTGTGGCTGGTATGGGGGGGTGGGTGGTGGTCCTGACCACATTTAAGAATGTAAAATGAGTAAGTAAATAAGACCTGAAAGAGACGGATTAATGTCCGTAGGCAGTATGCAGGATACCTGATGGTGTTGCCTGGCAACCTACAGCCAGTCCTGCAGCAAGAGTCCCAGACAAAGAGGGGAATTGAGGATGTGTTCAGATGAATTAGGTTTATCACCCCACCCCTGTTTTTTTACTTTGGCGGCAACTGGGTAAGGGACCTCTTTTTAAACATGTAGCTGGGATTTGTTTTCATCAGATGTGGTAAGAGTTGCAGACGTGGAAATGACTGTCATGAAGGAAGAAGTTTATACTCAGAAAGATCCCTGGAAAGAGGAGGTACTGCACACCATGCAGTGCCACATGGGGAAGCACCAGGTTTAATGAGGACGCAGAGAGCCTTTTTGTGGTTTTTATAAAAAGAAATGGGTAAGGCAGGGTAACCATGGTAGACAGGTTTAGTTTGAATGATTTTAGTGGGCTCTGGGCTATAGGGATTGTCCCTGGTTGCCAGGTACCTAGCCCTGGAGTGATTAGGGCTGAGGGATAGTGTCCTGGACTGCAAGAGACTGATTAAAGGAGATGGGGGGTGGGAGGTATATGAACTCTGGTTTGGTGGATTTGCACATCAAAGGTGTGCTTGCAGACAAGTTTACTATCTCTAGGAATTATCTAACCCTGGAAGGGTCAACCCCTACCCAGATGCAGAAGGTCTCAGATGCCACAGCGTAAGAATAAAGAAAAAAAAAATACAATTAATACAGACCCCAGTACACACACACACACACACACACACACACACACACACACACACACACACACACACACACACAAGTTCTACTTTGTTTTGAGACATAAGAGGCATCTCTGTTTTAGAGGCTGATGTTCACAGAGCGTGTAAGGAACCTTAAAGAGTATTATTGGAAGATCTCTTATTCCCTGTCCCTTTGATGCCAAGTACACATCCTGCAAGTCCGCAGTCAGTTCTAATGCCAAGCAAGGTGCCTCACTTCATTCTTCTTTCAAGATTTGCTCTTAGGACCTAATGAACATTAAAGGATTTTATACAACAGCAGCATGTATTCCATGAGTCACAGGCTTGAAAGAATAACTCCAAGAAGTGCAGGACTCCTATCTGGTCATTTTGGTTGTCTCGACGCAGGAAAGTGGAAAATGCATTTTTCTCAGCTCACCTCATAGGTTTAACCACAGTTCAGGAATGAACTGTGTCATTTCCTATCATGCACAGTGGGCATTGCTGAAAAGCATTATCTGGAAATACTATATTATGCCATTTTTGAATTAGTTTCAGTAATGAGAATAAACATTTGCAGAGCCTTTTGTGTTTGTAAAATGATTTACAAGCACCGGCTAGCTCACTTGTTAATAATTACTTTGGGGGATTCTTAACAATGCATATTTAGGAGATAAAAGTGATTATTTGGATGGGATTAGGGGAAAAAACAAGTAATAGAAAAGCATTTAACACAGTCATTTTCAGTTTTATACTCTCTGCAAGCCTGTACCGACTAACTTTATCATTTTCATTGAATTTCATCCCATATTCCTAATATTCAAAGACCAGCACAAAAACACTCAATGTTGGGTAGAATCATGGTTTAAGCTTTACATTATCACTCTTCCTTGTTGCCATTTCCTGTCTTGATTTGCATATAGAGTGGGTGCAACTCAGGAAGCCCTCCACAAACACACCCACCCAACTCCCATGGAGACAGGAAACTCAGCTCCCTGCCCTTCCTCTGCCTCTGATGTAATGGATGACCCTAAGAATTTCACTGCATCTCTAAGCCTCAGTGCTCCCACCTGTAAAATGGCTGAGGAAGGAAGGATGCAGGGCAAATGGGGGAGTCTATAAATTCACAAATCTGTGATCTTGCCACTATCATTGTCTAAAGCTCAAACTGGCTCTTAAATCTAGTGAATCCATGATCTTGCCATTTTTGTTGTCTGAAGCTTGGAATTGTGATGCCGTGCATCTCACTGCTCATTTTCTTGTTAAAACCCAAACTGTGACACATCAGTGTAACCACATGAGTGCATGCGTGCGCGTGCACGGGTGTGCACACACACACACTGCTTACCAGACTTTACCTAGGAGGGAATTTACACCATTGGTGAACTGCAGATATTCCAAAAACACTTAAAAATGTAAAATTTCAAATATCTCTTGAATTTTCTTTTTCTTTCTTTCTTTTTTTTTTTTTTTTTTTTTTTGAGACAGAATCTTGCTCTGTCGCCCAGGCTGGAATGCAGTGGTGTGATCTCGGCTCACTTGCAAGCTCTGCCTCCCGGGTTCACACCATTCTCCTGCCTCAGCCTCCCGAGTAGCTGGGACTACAGGCACCCGCCACCATGCCCAGCTAATTTTTGTATTTTTAGTAGGGATGGGGTTTCACCGTGTGAGCCAGGATGGTCTCGATCTCCTGACCTCATGATCCTCCCGCCTCGGCCTCCCAAAGTGCTGGGATTACAGGCGTGAGCCACCGCCCCCGGCCAGTATCTCTTGAATTTTCTATTCTAATCTCAGTTTAATATTACAGTATTTTTACTCGAATTGTTTGGTAACATTGACCCTTTAGATCAATGTTATCCTACAGCATTTGGGTATCTTCGGGCCACCCCACACGTGCACCATGCCTGCTCTCTGGTATAAGAAGAGTAGTTGAAGCCTCATGCTCCACTTATTTCACGCCTTGGTGAACCCTAAGTCTGAAGTTAGGTTGCAGATCAAACAGTGGACTCCATTTCCTCTGCTCTGTTTTTAAACTGTCTCTTGATGGGTTCTTAAACCCATCTACTGGTAAAGCCTGAAGTGTTCCAGGAAATATGATAAGAACCAAAGACATGTTTGAGAATAAAGCTATTCTATGGGGAGGTTTTCCATGACGCTCATCTTCAACTTTACTGTATAACTCTTAACTGATTTTTTAGTGGTGGTACATATCTCAATAATAATCACTGTATTTATCTATTATTTAGGGTTATCTATGAAGCACTTGTGATGTTTTTGAGCAGTAACCACCATTTTTTGAGTATGTACATGTTACACAGCCTGTCATATACCAATCATGTCAGTCAGGATCCCCACAGGGAGCAGATGGCACTCAACTGGGGTAAGTGGGTAAGTTTGGACCTTTCAAAGGTAGTGTTTCATAATCACAACAAATCTCATGGATAATGAACCTTATCAAGGTTTTCCATAAACAATTCTTTTCTGGTACCTTCCTAAGCATTTCACTATGTGTAGAAAATCAGTGTGATTTAATAAGCTGCGGATTCAGTATCCTGAAAAGAACTTCCTAATGTCCCCCTTCTAAAGTAAAAAAATCTTAAGCCCCAAAGGAATCTGGTCATTGTTTATTCATTACTCATTCATGAATTATGTTATCTTAATGAACATGAAAGCATGCCCTAGTCATAAACACACACACACACACATCCTTAAAGATGAATATTATTAACTTACCCTAGATTGATTGATCAAATCACATGTAATAATATGATAATTCACTTTGAAAAACTTTCTGCTATCATAACAAGATATCAAATAAGTCCAATTTTAATTGATTAAAAAATCTATTGGAAAGACAAATGATTCTATAGTAATGTGGTTGCTGTTTCCTTCCTGCCCAAGCAGGAAATTGGAGTCTCTTTCTGTTAATGTAGCTTCTGATTTTATTCTTGGCTTGGGGCTTTCCTTTTCCTAGGCTCATGCTACATAATCCAGCATAGCCATGTGGTAGCTGTTATTTTCAGTAAGTCTCACGATTTGAGATCCAGCTTCAACCCATAGTAATATGGCTCTGCCATGCTAACAACTTCTCTGAGCCCAAATCTGCAAAATGGGAATAATTCTCAATTTTGTTGGCTGTCATGATGTTTAAATAGGACAATGTAAGAAAATGAACCAGCATAATACCTAGTACATAAAAGGAGTTCAAGAAATGCTCAATTCTTTTCTTTTCCCTCATGTGTATAATACGGCTGTGGTCATCTCACTCTAAGACAGTGGTTTATGGACATTCTGATTCAGCCATGATCATAAAGAATGGTCTGACAGAGAAGTCTCATATATTGCATGTTCCTTCTAAACTTGGCTATACTGACATTTTTAACAGCTTTAGTTAAGTATTTATTGCATATCGTCAAATTTACCCATTGTAGGTATACAGTTAAATTATTTTCATAAATGTATGGGGTTATGTAACCCTCAATATAGTCCAGTCATACATTTCTGTCACCCCAAAAAGTTTCTTTATTGTGCCCATTTATAGCACTTCACTCCCACCTCCAGCCCTATGCAACCACTGAGCTGCATTTTTCTCTGTAAATTTACCTTCTCCAGATTATTCATATAGATGAAATTATACATTCTGTATAGTCTCTTGCATCTGGCTTTTTTACTATGCATAATGTTTTTGAGGTTTATTCATGTTATAGCCTGTATCAAAATTTTATTCCTTTTTATTGTGTAATAATATTCCATCATAAGGATACGCCACAATTTGTTCACCTATTCACTAGGCAATGGAAATTTGGATTGTGTCCAGTTTTTGTCTGTTAACAATAATGTTAGGCCTGGTGCAGTGGCTCATGCCTGTAATCCCAGCACTTTGGGAGGCTGAGGCAGGCAGATAATTTGAGGCCAGGAGTTCAACAGCAGCTTGACCAACATAGAGAAACCTTCTCTCTACTAAAAAATACAAAAATCAACTGGATGTGATGGCGCACACCTGTAATCCCAGCTACTCGGGAGGCTGAGGCAGGAGAATCGCTTGAGCCTGGGAGGCAGAGATTACGGTAAGCCAAGATCGCACCACTGCACCCCCAGCCCAGGCAACAGAGCGAGACTCTGATTCAAAGAAAGAAAAGAGGAAGAGAGAAAGAAAGATGCCTATGAGCCACATTTTCTTAATCCAGAAAATGTGGCACATATACACCATGGAATACTATGCAGCCATAAAAAATGATGAGTTCATGTCCTTTGTAGGGACATGGATGAAATTGGAAATCATCATTCTCAGTAAACTATCGCAAGAACAAAAAACCAAACACCACATATTCTCACTCATAGGTGGGAATTGAACAATGAGATCACATGGACACAGGAAGGGGAATATCACACTCTGGGGACTGTGGTGGGGTGGGGGGAGGGGGGAGGGATAGCATTGGGAGATACACCTAATGCTAGATGACGAGTTAATGGGTGCAGCGCACCAGCATGGCACATGTATACATATGTAACTAACCTGCACAATGTGCACATGTACCCTGAAATATAAAGTATAATAAAATAAATAAATAAATAAATAAAAGAAAGATGCCTATGAATATTCATATACATGTCTTTGGGTGTACATGTTTTCACTTCTCTTGAATAGATTCCTAGGAGTGAAATTGCAGTGTTGTGTGGTTTGTGTTTAACTCTTTAAAACTGACAAATTGTTTTCCAAAGTGGCTGTACCATTTTACATTCCCATCAGCAATATATAAATATTACAGTTTCTCCCCATCAACACCAATACTTGTATTGTCTTTTTTGTTACAGCCATTCTAGTGAATATGAAGTGATATTCATTATGGTTTTAATTTACATTTCCCTAATGACTAATAATATTGAGCATTTTTCAATATATTTATTTGCCATCCATACGTCTTCTTTCGCGACATGTCTATTCATGTATTTTGCCCATTTTTTAATTGGGGTGTAAGAGCCCAATTTTTTATTGAGTTGTAACAGTTCATTATATATATTCTAGATATAGGTCTTTAGCAAACCTATGTTATGCAGATATTTTCTCCTGTGGCTTATATTTTCTGTCTGTGGCTTATATCTTTATTTTCTTAATAGTACTTTTCGAAGCACAAAACTTTTTAATTTTTATTGATAAAGTTCGATTTATTGAGTTTTTCATTAATGGTTTATGCATTTGTTCTCATTTTTGACAACTCTGCCCAACACAGAGTCACAAAGATTATCTCCTGTATTTACTTCTAAAAGTCTTAAAATTTTAACTCTTACATTTAAGTACCATATTGTGTTAATTTTGGTATATAGTGTGAGGTAAGAATCTAGTTCATTACTTTTGCATATGGCTTTCTAGTTATCCCAGCATCATTGGTTGAAAAGACTTTTCCCTCCTTCAATTTTTTTTATTATACTTTAAGTTCTAGGGTACATGTGCACAACGTGCAGGTATGTTCCATAGGTATACATGTGCCATGTTGATTTGCTGCACCCATTAACTTGTCATTTACATTAGGTATTTCTCCTAATGTTATCCCTCCCCCAGCCCCCCACTCAATGACAGTTCCCAGTGTGTGATGTTCACCGCCCTGTGTCCAAGTGTTGTCATTGTTCAGTTCCCACGTATGAGTGAGAGCATGCGGTGTTTGGTTTTTCTGTCCCTGTGATAGTTTGCTGAGAATGATAGTTTCCAGCTTCATCCATGTCCCTGCAAAGGACATGAACTCATCCTTTTTTATGGCTGCATAGTATTCCATGGTGTATATGTGCCACATTTTCTTAATCCAGTCTATCATTGATGGACGTTTGGGTTGGTTCCAAGTCTTTGATATTGTGAATAATGCCACAGTAAACATACGTGTGTGTGTGTGTGTCTTTATAGCAGCATGATTTATAATTCTTTGGGTATATACCCAGTAATGAAATCGCTGGGTCAAATGGTATTTCTAGTTCTAGATCCTTGAGGAATCACCACATTGTCTTCCATAATAGTTTAACTAATTTACACTCCCACCAACAGTGTAAAAGTGTTCCTATTTCTCCACATCTTCTCCAGCATCTGTTGTTTCCTGACTTTTTAATGATTGCCATTCTAACTGGCGTGAGATGGTATCTCATTGTGATTTTGATTTGCATTTGTCTGATGACCAGTGAAGATGACCATTTTCTCATGTGTCTGTTTGTTGCATAAATGCCTTCTTTTGAGAAGTATCTGTTCATAACCTTTGCCCACTTTATGATGGGATTGCTTGTTTTTTTCTTGTAAATTTGTTTAAGTTCTTTGTAGATTCTGGATATTAGCCCTTTGTCATATAGGTAGATTGCAAAAATTTTCTCCCTTTCTGTAGGTTGCCTGTTCACTCTGATGGTAGTTTCTTTGCCGTGCAGAAGCTCTTTAGTTTAATTATGTCCCATTTGTCTATTTTGGCTTTTGTTGCCATTGCTTTTGGTCTTTTAGACATGAAGTCCTTGCCCATGCCTGTGTCCTGAATGGTATTGCCTAGTTTTTCTTCTAGGGTTTTTATGGTTTTAGGTCTAACATTTAAGTCTTTAGTCCATCTTGAATTAATTTTTGTATAAGGTGTAAGGAAAAGATCCAGTTTCAGCTATCTACATATGGCTAGCCAGTTTTCTCAGCACCATTTATTAAATAGGGAATCCTTTCCCCATTTCTTGTTTTTGTCAGGTTTGTCAAAGATCAGATGGTTGTAGATGTGTGGTGTTATTTCTGAGGCCTTTGTTCTGTTCCATCGGTCTGTATATCTGTTTTGGTACCAGTACTATACTGTTTTGGTAACTATAGCCTTGTAGTATAATTTGAAGTCAGGTAGCCTCCAGCTTTGTTCTTTTTGCTTAGGATTGTCTTGGCGGGCCCTTTTTTGGTTTCATATGAACTTTAAAGTAGATTTTTCCAATTCTGTGAAGCAAATCATTGGTAGCTTGATGAGGATGGCATTGAATCTATAAATTACCTTGGGCAGTATGGCCATTTTCACGATATTGATTCTTCCTGTATATGAGCATGGAATCTTCTTCCATTTGTTTGTGTCCTCTTTTGTTTCATTGAGCAGTGGTTTGTAGTTCTCCTTGAAGAGGTCCTTCACATCCCTTGTAAGTTGGATTCCTAGGTATTTTATTCTGTTTGTAGCAATTGTGAATGGGAGTTCACTCATGATTTGGCTCTCTGTTTGTCTGTTATTGACGTATAGGAATGCTTGTGATTTTTGCATATGGGTTTTGTATCCTGAGACTTTGCTGAAGTTGCTTATCAGCTTAAGGAGATTTTGGGCTAAGACGATGGGGTTTTCTAAATAGACAATCATGTCATCTGCAAACAGAAACTATTTGACTTCCCTTTTCCTAATTGAATAACCCTTTATTTCTTTCTCTTGCGTGATTACCCTGGCCAGAACTTCCAACACTATGTTGAATAGGAGTGGTGAGAGAGGGCATCCTTGTCTTGTGCTGGTTATCAAAGGGAATGCTTCCAGTTTTTGCCCATTCAGTATGATATTCGCTGTGGGTTTGTCATAAATAGCTCTTACTGTTTTGAGATATGTTCCATCAATACCTAGTTTATTGAGAGTTTTTAGTATGAAGGGCTGTTGAATTTTGTCGAAGGCCTTTTCTGCACCTATTGAGATAATCATGTGGTTTTTGTCTTTGGTTCTGTTTATGTGATGGATTACGTCTATTGATTTGCGTATGTTGAACCAGCCTTGCATCCGCGGGGTGAAGCCTACTTGATCGTGGTGGATAAGCTTTTCGATGTGCTGCTGGATTCGGTTTGCCAGTATTTTATTGAGGATTTTCACATCAGTATTCATCAGGGATATTGGTCTAAAATTCTCTTTTTTTGTTGTGTCTTTGCCAGGCTTTGGTATCAGGATGATACTGGCCTCATAAAACTAGTTAGGGAGGATTCTCTCTTTTTCTATTGATTGGAATAGTTTCAGAAGGAATGGTACCAGCTCCTCTTTGTACCTCTGGTAGAATTTGGCTCTGAATCCATCTGGTCCTGGACTGTTTTTGGTTGGTGGGCTATTAATTATTGCCTCAATTTCAGAGCCTATTATTGGTCTATTCAGAGATTCAACTTCTTCCTGGTTTAGTCTTGGGAGGGTGTATGTATCCAGGAATTTATCCATTTCTTCTAGATTTTCTAGTTTATTTGTGTAGAGGTGTTTATAGTATTCTCTGATGGTAGTTTGTATTTCTGTGGGATCGGTGGTGATATCCCCTTTGTCATTTTTTATTGCGTCTATTTGATTCTTCTCTCTTTTCTTCTTTATTAGTCCTGCTAGCAGTCTATCAATTTTGTTAATCTTTTCAAAAAACCAGCTCCTGGATTCTTTGATTTTTTGAAGGGTTTTTTGTGTGTCTATCTCTTTCAGTTCTGCTGTGATCTTAGTTATTTCTCACCTTCTGCTAGCTTTTGAATTTGTTTGCCCTTGCTTCTCTAGTTCTTTTAATTGTGATGTTAGGGTGTCAATTTTAGATCTTTCCTGCTTTCTCTTGTGTGCTTTTAGTGTTATAAATTTCCCTCTACACACTGCTTTAAATGTGTCCCAGAGATTCTGGTACGTCGTGTCTTTGTTCTCATTGGTTTCAACCTTAATTTTTTTCTACCTTAATTTTGTTATGTACCCAGTAGTCATTCAGGAGCAGGTTGTTCAGTTTCCGTGTAGTTATGCGGGTTTGAGTGAGTTTCTTTTTTTTTTTTTTTTTTTTTTTTTTTTTTTTTTTTGAGACGGAGTCTCGCTCTGTCGCCCAGGCTGGAGTGCAGTGGCGGGATCTCGGCTCACTGCAAGCTCCGCCTCCCGGGTTCACGCTATTCTCCTGCCTCAGCCTCCCAAGTAGCTGGGACTACAGGCGCCAGCCGCTACGCCCGGCTAATTTTTTGTATTTTTAGTAGAGACGGGGTTTCACCGTTTTAGCCGGGATGGTCTCGATCTCCTGACCTCGTGATCCACCCTCCTCGGCCTCCCAAAGTGCTGGGATTACAGGCGTGAGCCACCGCGCCCGGCCTTGAGTGAGTTTCTTAATCCTGTGTTCTAATTTGATTGCACTGTGGTCTGAGAGACAGTTTGTTGTGATTTCTGTTCTTTTACATTTGCTGAGGAGTTCTTTTATATTTGCTTTACTTCTAATTATGTGGTCAATTTTAGAGTAAGTGTGATGTAGTGCTGAGAAGAATGTATATTCTGTTGATATGGGGTGGAGAGTTCTGTAGATGTCTATTAGGTCCACTTGGTCCAGAGTTGAGTTCAAGTCCCGGATATCCTTGTTAACCTTCTGTCTCGTTGATCTGTCTAATATTGACAGTGGGTTGTTAAAGTCTCCCATTATTATTGTGTGGGAGTCTAAGTCTCTTTGTAGGTCTCTAAGGACTTGCTTTATGAATCTTGGTGCTCCTGTATTGGGTGCATATATATTTAGGATAATTAGCTCTTCTTGTTGAATTGATCCCTTTACCATTATGTAATGGCCTTCTTTGTCTCTTTTGGTCTTTGTTGGTTTAAAGTCTGTTTTATCAGAGACTAGGATTGCAACCCCTGCTTTTTTTTTTTTTTTTTTTTTTTTTTTTTGCTTTCCATTCTCTTGGTAGATCTTCCTCCATCCCTTTATTTTGAGCCTATGTGTGTCTCTGCACATTGAGGTGGGTCTCCTGAATACAGCACACTGATGAGTCTTGACTCCGTCCAATTTGCCAGTCTGTGTCTTTTAATTGGGGCATTTAGTCCATTTACACTTAAGGTTTATATTGTTATGTGTGAATTTGATGTTGTCATTATGATGTTTGCTGGTTATTTTGCCCGTTAATTGATACAGTTTCTTCATAGCATCATTGGTC
Source organism: Homo sapiens (assembly GCF_000001405.40). NCBI lineage: Eukaryota > Metazoa > Chordata > Mammalia > Primates > Hominidae > Homo > Homo sapiens. The sequence goes on from NC_000003.12 coordinate 133,310,826, forward strand.
TTTACAATTTGCCATGTTTTTGCAGTGGCTGGTAGCAGTTGTTCCTTTCCATGTTTAGTGCTTCCTTCAGGAGCTCTTGTAAGGCAGGCCTGGTTGTGACAAAATCTCTCAACATTTGCTTGTCTGTAAAGGATTTTGTTTCTCCTTCGCTTATGAAGCTTAGTTTGGCTGGATATGAAATCCTGGGTTGAAAATTCTTTTCTGTAAGAATGTTGAATATTGACCCCCACTCTCTTCTGGCTTGTAGGGCTTCTGCTGAGAGATCTGCTGTTAGTCTGATGGGCTTCCCTTTGTGGGTAACCTTATCTGGCTGCCCTTCACATTTTTTCCTTCATTTCCACCTTAGTGAATCTGACAATTATGTGTCTTGGGGTTGCTCTTCTCGAAGAGTATCTTTGTGGTGTTTTCTGTATTTCCTGAATTTGAAAGTTGGCCTTGCTAGGTTGGGGAAGTTCTCCTGGATAATATCCTGAAGAGTATTTTCCAACTTGGTTCCATTCTCCCTGTCACTTTCAGGTACACCAATCAGATGTAGATTTGGTCTTTTCACATAGTCCCATATTTCTTGGAGGCTTTGTCCATTTCTTTTTACTCTTTTTTCTCTAAACTTGTCTTCTCAGTTTATTTCATTGATTTGATCCTCCATCACTGATACCCTTTCTTCCACTTGATCGAATTGGCTATTGAAGCTTGTGCATGTGTCACAAAGTTCTCGTGCCATGGTTTTCAGCTCCATCAGGTCATTTAAGGTCTTCTCTACGCTGTTTATTCTAGTTAGCCATTCATCTAACCTTTTTTCAACGTTTTTAGCTTCCTTCGAATGGGTTAGAACATGCTCCTTTAGCTCAGAGAAGTTTATTACCAACCTTCTGAAGCCTACTGCTGTCAACTCATCAAAGTCATTCTCCGTCCAGCTTTGTTCCATTGCTGGCGAGGAGCTGCGACACTTTGGAGGAGAAGAGGCACTCCGGTTTTTAGAATTTTCAGCTTTTCTGCCCTGGTTTCTCCCCATGTTTGTGGTTTTATCTACCTTTGGTCTTTGATGATGGTGACCTACAGATGGGGTTTTGGTGTGGATGTCCTTTTTGTTGATGTTGGTGCTATTCCTTTCTGTTTGTTAGTTTTCCTTCTAACAGTCAGGTCTCTCAGCTGCAGGTCTGTTGGAGTTTGCTGGACATCCACTCCAGACCCTGTTTGCCTGCGTATCACCAGCAGAGGCTGCAAAACAGCAAATATTGCAGAACAGCAAATATTGCTGCCTGATCCTTCCTCTGGAAGCTTCATCCCAGAGGGGTGCCCGCCTGTATGAGGTGTCTGTCAGCCCCTACTGGGAGGTATCTCCCAGTTAGGCTACACAGGGGTCAGGGACCTACTTGAGGAGGCGGTCTGTCCATTCTCAGTGCTCAAACACCATACTGGCAGAACCACTGCTCTCTTCAGAGCTGTCAGACAGGGATGTTTAAGTCTGCAGAAGTTTCTGCTGTCTTTTGTTCAGCTATGCACTACCCACAGAGATGGAGTCCTAGAGTCAGTAGGCCTTGCTGAGCTGTGGTGGGCTCCACCCAGTTTGAGCTTCCTGGCCACTTTGTTTACCTACTCAAGCCTCAGCAATGGCAGACGCCTCTCCCCGCCACAAGGCAGCAGCCTCGTGGGTCAATCTCAGACTGCTGCACTAGCTGTGAGCAAGGCTCTGTGGGTGTGGGACCCACCAGGCATGGGAGAGAATCTCCTGGTCTGCTGGTTGCTAAGACCATGTGAAAAGCGCAGTATTTGGGCAGAGTGTCCTGTTTTTCCAGGTACAGTCTGTCACAGCTTCCCTTGGCTAGGAAAGGGAAATCCCCTGACCCCTTGTGCTTCCCAGGTGAGGCAATGCCCTGCCCTGCTTTGGCTCGCCCTCTGTGGGCTGCATCCACTGTCCAACCAGTCCCAGTGAGATGAACCAGGTGCCTCACTTGGAAATGCAGAAATCACCCATCTTCTGCATCGATCACGCTGGGAGCTGCAGACCAGAGCTCTTCCTTTTGGGCCATCTTGGAACGGAACCCTCCCTCCTTCATTTTATTGTCTTAAGAATGACATTCTCTTACAGAACCACAGTAGAATTACCAACTTTACTATATCTTTACTATATCTAAAATTGTTACAATGCTTTCATCTAATCTATTATCAATATTCTAATTTTATCAATCAGTATGTGCTTTATAACATATTTTCTTCCTGAGCAAGACCCAGTCTAGGACCACAAAATTTACTTAGTTTTCATTTCTCTTTAATCTGGAACGTTTGTCTAGCCTTTCTTTGCCATTTATAGCATTAACAGTTTTGAAAATACATTTTCAAAATTTCTGGATAATTTCTGCAAATACATATATATAATTTTTTTTTTTTTTGAGATGGAGTCTCTCTCTGTCACCCAGGCTGGAGTGCAGTGGTGCGATCTCAGCTCACTGCAAGCTCCGCCTCCCGGGTGCACACCATTCTCCTGCTTCAGCCTCCCAAGTAGCTGGGACTACAGTTGCCCACCACCACGCCTGGCTAATTCTTTGTATTTTTAGTAGAGACGGGTTTTCACCGTGGTCCCAATCTCCTGACCTCGTGATCCACCTGCCTTGGCCTCCCAAAGTGCTGGGATTACAGGCGTGAGCCACCGCGCCTGGCCAAATTTTTTAATAATTTAAAATGTGCTTTAAGATACATTTTTAAATAAATATTCTTTCTCTTGTCTTTGTCTGACGTTTCCTCCTGATTCCATTCATGCTGTGCCTCCCAAGTCGGAATACCACTTAGTTGATGACATATCCTTCTAGTGCACCCTTTCTGGACACATGCAATGTCCATCTGCCCTTCATTGATGTTAATTTTCATCACCCAATCAAGATGTTGTTCAGTTTCCCCACTGTGTAATTACTATCTTCCCCTTGCATTTAGTAAGTCCTCCGACTTCTTTTTTAGACCAGCACGTTTAGATTTTTCTCAGTGTCCCTGGAAAAGAGAGGAACTGCTCTTCTGCTTGCAACACAGTAATTGCTAACCCCTGTGAAGAGAGCATTTATAATGGCATTAATGCCTGAAGACCTTTTTAATGTGAATTTAAGGATTTTCCCTAATGCATGGATGATTAGAATTAGAGAAAGCTGCTACCAATTGGATGACAGTTTTCTTATCCGCTATAATCTAGTACAAAAATAACTCCTTTCTGCTGTCTTATTAATATCTCTAGTCAAAAAAACTTCTCTGATTTGATTCCTGCCATGCTTGTTCATGAATAAATGGATGGAGCTGTGTTCCTGCAGGAATTTTTAAGAGTTTATTTTTTTCTGTTTCATCTAATGAAGATAAATGAACATCTTGAAAGAAAAGAAGTGGCTCGGACTTTACTGGAAAGAGTAATACTTGGAAAAAATATTTCTAATAGCTTGGGAAAATAAAAAGGATGATGACAACTCTAAAGTGTATGCCATCTCTCATCAGTATCTCTCATCCAGTTAATAGGAGAGGATGGCAGCTTTGTTATTAAATCATGTAGATGCTAATTGAAGGCACAACCAAATAGAAGGATCAGTTGCCTTCAAAAGCGCTTTTAGATTATTAGCTGTGATTTCAATGATGGAACGCAATTTCCAGATCAACTCCAATTCTTAGACTGATAATTTTCCTAGGAACATGCATGCTTTGGGAAAGAATGGTTGTATAGCTGGTCCTCATTAAGAACCCTCATTCTCCAAGTCACTTTTGCCTCTAAAGTCTAAGTATTCCCATTATACATTACAGCCAAGGTCACCTGAGAGCTGTAATGTGCACACTAAAGCCATTTCTCCACCTAGTCCCTCAGATGTCTATGATTGTTTGGGATCTGCTGGTGCTTTGTAGCATGGAATCCATCCTGGTAATTGGTGGATGGATAGCTTTGCCCAAAAGTCTATGGGACAAGAACAGACAGCATGAGTTTAGATTTTGAAATGGCCTAGTCCTTAGAAATAGCTCATTCCAACACCAAAAGCTTATTACTATTGATATAGCTCTCTGAAAGAAATAACAGTGACAACGACAACCTGGATTTGCATAGCTCTTTGCCCTTTCAAGACACTCTTGGTAACATCTTTTTTCAGGCAATATAGCCAAAATGCCTTAGTTTAAAACTTGGCATCACCATCCACTGACTGTATAATCTCAAACAAAGTTACTTAATCTTGTTTTGTCTCGGTTTTCCTGTTTGTAATATGGAGACAATAGTGGATCCCTATTAATAGGTTGTTGTAAGAACTAAAGATAACATCGATCAAGTGCTTAGAGCAATGCATACAGGAAGTGCTTAATAGAGGTTAAGTATTGTTGTCCTTATCCTATTATTCTACTGAAGAAAGTAAAGGCATGGATTAATATCCTGTTTTTATGGTTGAAGAAGTAACCAGTGGTTCAGTAACTTGCCTAAGATCACATAGCAATTGATAGGTGACCCGCAATAAAGAGAAGCCGCTCAGAGCTTTTGAGTCCTGCTTTATAGGTCCCTGGGGAGGGTCCCTCCTCCCTCCAATCTTTTGTGCATTTTGTTACCTTAAATGACTTTGAAACACAGAAAGCCCTGAGGACCACACCTGGGTCTGTGGAAGGAGGCCTGGACCAGCCTGTGTCCCCACAGAAATGCTTGGCCCCTCACCCCAGCCCCCACACCCATGAGAGCTTGGGTCTGTGGTATCAGCCAAACACAGATTCCATAAAGAGCCAGACAAGATGGGGACACTAACAACACAATCTCCAGTGCTTCTGCCTCTTCCAGGCTCACAGCTACCCCAGCAGGAAGTCTTGCTGATGTGCTGGTTTCACCAAACCCAACAGCCACAGTGGCTGTAGCAAAAGTAGTTAAGTCTGTCTCAGAAATAAAGACCAACGAAGTAGCCGAGAGATGGATTTTGTAACTTTAGATCTTTGGGGAATGAAAACTAAATTTAACCCAACTTTGGCAATGGACAACCCCTACAAATACTTGTTTGCAAAATCACTTTATTTTATATTATAGATTAACATTAAATGAGTAAGGAATACATAATTGAGTGAACATTGGTGTTATACATTGATATTGAGACATAAAAAGCATGTATACATACTCTGCAGCTTTAGCTAGCACATGTCCTCAAAATAGACCTCCGCACTACTAAGAACCAGAGACGACTTAAAGCCCTGCAGCCTTTCTTGTAACACACACAAATGATAAAATAAAAAGAGAGACTAATAAAAAGACAAACATTTCTTCTGGTAATCAGCTGGTCTGGAGTCACTGTTTCATTAGGTATTCCATTCATCACACAAAATAAGGCGAATAAATAGAAACACACATATGGGGAAGAGGGAGATAAATAAACATGAAATAAAACAAATGAAATACGTACCCCACATTCTTGCAAAAAATCATTAGGTTGAGTGATTCCCTTTAAGTGGTGAGACTATGGGCACTCAGTTTGTTTCCCTTCTTTGTATAGATATCCTCCATATTATATGAACATATTTTGCAATGGAAACTGAAAAAAGTACATTTTTAAAATACCTTTAAAAGAAAGTTGGTACCCATTGGGTACCAGTTGTAAGGGTATACACTGAAGAGGCTATATCTTTAGCATCATCACTTAGAGAGCTGTGTGGTCATTAGGTTTATCCCAGTGAAAGTGTGCTGTACTATCACTTGAACATCATTATGCCTAGTGCTTGTCGAAAAAGGTCTGAACCTTAGATACTGAAGAGCTTCCCATTATAAGGCAGGGAGAGGAGAAAGATTTAAAAACACATATAAACATCTTTTCTTTGTGGATAAAGAAGTGTGGTCAAACTCTATACCTTACCTGTAACTCTGGAATGTTTTGAGAATGAGCCAAAATGTCAGATTCTTCCCCCTATCCAAACAGCCTAGCTGGCAAGGTCCCCAGGGACCCAAATCAGACCCAAGGTGAGCATGCTGGTCCTCAGTTTGTAGTGGGCAAGACCTCAGGGTGAGCTGAAGAACAGGGCCTTGGGTGATGCAAAATTGAAAGGCCAGACAGACCGTCTAAGTGAGTTGACATAGACAGAGCAGGAAAATCTGAATACCAAGCCAGAAGATAGAGCCCAGGGAAGTCAAACTGTGGGTGGGAGAAAATTCCCTCTGTAAGTAAAAGGGATCTGCAGCAACCTCTTTTAGCATAAAAGAACGCTACTGAAAATTCCAGTGTGGCCAGGATGGGAAGGTTTGTAGATACCTTTGTGCTTGTCAAAGTAAGGATTTATTCAAATGTGAACTACAGCTGTTATTGTGAGTGATTGAAAAGCATTCCAAGTTCCTGGACTGACAAACATTCTCTGTGTATCCACAGCCCTAATATTACCCATCTAATTCAATGATACGGACGTTGAAAGGGATTTGTATCCCCAAGGAATATATGCATTGCTGTTACTGTATTACTATGATGGCCTTTAAAAAAAACTGTGTATACTATTCTCTTGATACAAGATACTTGACAGGCTCTCAGCAAAATGCTGAGCTTTTACCACCTTTACTAAGTCAGCAATGACACTATCTCACAGGGTGAAAAAGGGAAATTTTTGCCAACTCCTGAAGATCTTGGCATGTATCAATAATATGATTTTTATAAGAAATGAGATTCTAAAAATTGTGGGTAATAGATTTACACATTTCCCAGATGGCTTACAGAATAACAGACTGGAAACAGAACTTAAATTATAGGCAGGAACATAAACACCAGACCTAATTTTGAAAATAAGCAGAATAGAAATGTGATGAGCATTAACAATAGTAATTGCTTGCAACCTTTAATGTCATCTTGGCTAGAGATGTTATATGGTGTGAATGCCCCAAATAATAAGAACCAAAAGGGTCTATTTTCAATATAACTCCATCCAGCAGATACTAATTGAGTACTTTCTATATGCCAGACACCATTCTAGGAGTTGGGGACATAGCAGCAAACAAAACCGAACAAATCCTTCCCCTCGTGGTACTGATATTCTAGAGGGGAAAGACTAGTGAACAGGAATAAAGAAGTAAAATGTATAGTATGTTAGATAGGGATACATGCAATGAAAAAAATGTAAAGCCAGAAAGGAGAATATATGTGTTGAAGGATGGTGCTTCAGTTGGAAAGGAGAAAAATTCAGCCAGTAGTCTAATTTTGGAATAGAAATGGGTTCCAAAGTGGGAGGCAAGAGGCCAGTCATTTCACTCTCTGGATTTCCCTGTCTATCAAGTGAAGCAGACTGTGGGATCTTTGTCACAAACAAGCTCTTACAGTTCAGATTGCTGGTGGTGCTTTGCTGTGTGACACAAGGGAAATTAAGAAACACATTGGATTTCAAACTTTAAAAGTGACACACCAAGTAGTGTTCTTTTGTGCCAGTAAAACAAAGCTACAGATTGCCCAGAGGGAGACTTCTGCCTTGGAGTGAACGCCCCTGGAAGACACTACACTGGTACTTTCACTCCAGTGACAGCATAGGGGAGGAAAAATGGGGATAGTAACTGGTTTACATCTCAAGGATATTATAGTCTCATAGTTGCTTCTTTTTAACATTTTTTCCTTAGAATTACCATCTGTTAGGCACTGTCATTTTTCAAACCCATTTTATAGATTAGGTAATTGGAAAATGAAAAGTATCTTGCTGAAATTCATATAGCTAGTTGCAGTCCAAGAATTTAAAACCAGATCTCTCTGATTCCAGAATCTATGAACTTTGCATGACACCCAGCCATGTTCTCATAAGTACCTCATTTTTTACTCTAAAAATCTCTCCCAGATGAGGGTGCACTCAACAAAATCTGAAGTGGGACAGTATACAGGACAAATGACCTGTCTTTCTCAGCAAATAAATCATAAGAAAAAAGAGAAAGGGAAAATAACATATAGATTAAAAATTACTTAAGAGGGGGAGTTCTGGGAAGATGGTGAATAGGAGACAGGACTGACATGCAGCTCCCATTTGGATGGACAGAATAGCATGTGGAGACTCACACCATGGAATTTTGTTCCAGGAACCACTGCAGGAGCATAACAGGAAAACCAAAATAATTTCTAGATCCTTTGAAAGAAGCAGCAAATTCTGCGAGATAGGCAAAAAAAAAAACTCAGGGGAAGTGTATAGCCTGGGGCTAGGTCTGAGTCCTGTGGACAGGCTGCCTGGAGATAAACTCAGCGCTGTTTGCAGGCCACAGTGGGAGAGAGATTGGCCTCACCAAATGCATGGGAGCTGGGTGAGGCCCATCACAACTGGCTTTCCCCCACTTCCCTGGTGACAGAGGCAACCCTAATCCCCTCTGGAACATAACCCCGTTGGCCCAAGAACCACCCCTTTATCCCCCATGGTAGCTACGGCAAGCCCTTGCCCAAGAAGAGTCTGAGCTGGGTCCTGCCTAACACTGCCCCCGCCTGATGATTTTTCTCTACCTGTCCCGGTAGCCAATCACGAAAGACATAAACTCTTGGGAGCTTTATGACCCTGACCATTGCCTCAGAAACCTGAATACTTATCCTGGCCAACTTAGGGCAAGCTTATATCCCACTTCTGTTGCAGCTGGTGCTTTCTTGAAAGCACGACCTCCTGGCTGTAGGCCAACCAACTCAGGACATTACGGAAACTCATGACAGAACAACCCTGCTGCAAGGAAGGAGAAAACATCTAATTCCATTGCATGCAACATTCTGGCTGACCAGTGGTCCTGAGTCTGTCCACATGACAACTTCACTGCTAACATAACTAGCATTCAAGAAAGCTAGTACACTAAACATATCTAAAACCAAGGACTCTCACAGAGTCTACTTCACTCCCCTGCCACCTCCACCAGAGCAGGTGCCGGTATCCATGTTTGGGAGACCTGAAGATGGATTGCATCACAGGACTCTTTGCAGACATTCCCTAGCGCCAACCCAGAGCCTGGTAGCCCCACTGGGTTGCTAGACCCAGAAGAACAACAATCACTGCAGTCTAGTTCACAGGAAGCCCCATCCCTAGGGGAAGGGGACCCTTCATGGGACCTTCATGAGTCCTTCATGAGACCACCTCATGGGACAAAAGAATCTGAAGAGCAGCCCTTAAGTTCCAGATTTTTCCACTGAAATAGTCTACCCAGATGAGAAGGAATCAGAAAAGTAATTCAGACAATATGACAAAACAAGGTTCTGGCTGGGCGCAGTGGCTCATGCCTGTAATCCCAGCATTTTGGGAGGCTGAGGTGGGAAGATCACTTGAGCCCAGGAGTTCAAGACCAGCCTGGGCAACATAGACTCCATCTCCACATTTAAATAAAACAAGGTTCTATAACACTCCAAAAAGACCATACTAGCTCCCCAGCAGTGGATTCAAACCAAGAAGAAATATCTGAATTGCCAGATAAAGAGTTCAGAAGGTTGATTATTAAGTGACTCAAGGAAATACCAGAGAAAGGTGAAAACCAACTTAAAGAAATTAAAAAATATATACAGGATATGGATAAAAAATGCTCCAAAGAAATAGCTATCATAAAGAAAAAAAAAACAATCACAACTTCTGGAAATGAAAGACACACTTAGAGAAATACAAAATATACTAGAAAGTTTCAACAGTAGAATCAAACAAGTAGAAGAAAGAACTTCAGATCTTGAAGACAAGTTTTTCAAGTTACCCAATGAGAAAAAGACAAAACAAAATGAACAAAGCCTCCAAGAAATTTTGGATTATGTTACATACACAAATGTAAGAATAATTGGTGTTCCTGAGGAAGAAGAGAAATCTAGAAGTTTTGAAAACATATTTGGGGGAATAATCAAGGAAAACTTTCCTGGCCTTGCTAGAAATCTAGACATCCAAATACAAGAAGCTCGAAGGAAACCTGGGAAATGCAACACAAAAAGGTCATCACCCAGGTGCGTAATCATCAGGTTATCCAAAGTCAAGACAGGGAAAAAATCTTAAGAGCTGTGAGGCAAAGTCATCAGGTAACCTATAAAGGAAAACCTATTAGATTAACGGCACATTTCTCAGCAGAAACCCGACAAGCCAGAAGGGATGGGAGTTCTATCATTAACCTCCTCAAACAAAATAATTGCTAGCCAAGAATTTTGTATTGAGCAAAAACTAAGCTTCATAAATGAAGGAGAGATAAAGTCTTTTTCAGACTAACAAATGCTGAGAGCATTTGCCACTCTCAAGCCAGCACTACAAGAAATTCTAAAAAGAGATCTAAATCTTGACACAAAACCTTAAAATACACCAAAATAGAATCTTCTTAAAGCATAAATCTCACAGGGCCCATAAAACAATAACACAAAAAAACAAGGCATTCAGACAACAACTAGTACAATGAATAAAACAGTATGTCACATCTCAATAACATTGAATGTAAAATGGATTAAATGTTCCACTTAAAAGATAGAGAATGGCAGAATAGATAAAAATCCACCAACCAAGTATGTGCTGTCTTCAAGAGACTCACCTAACACATAAGGACTCACAGAAACTTAAGGTAAAGTGGTGGGGAAAGATATTCCATGCAAATGGTCACCAAAAGTGAGCAAGAGTAGCGATTCTTATATCAGACAAAACAAACTTTGAAGCAACAACAGTTTAAAAAGACAAAGAAGGACATTATATAATGATAAAAGGATCAATCCAACTGGAAAATATCACAATCCTAAATATATATGCACCTAACATTGGAGCTTCCAAATTTATAAAACAATTATTACTAGACATAAGAAATGAGATAGACAGCAACAAAAAAATACTCCACTGACAGCACCAGACTTCAGTACTCCACTGACAGCACCAGACAGGTTATCAAGACACAAAGTCAACAAAGAAACAATGAACTTAAACTATGCCCTAGAACAAATGGACTTAACAGATATTTACAGAACATTCTACCCAATAACTGCAGAATATACATTCTTTTCATCATCACATGGAACATTCTCCAAGACAGACCATATGATAGGCCACAAAACAAATCTCAATGAATTGAAGAAAGCCAAAATTATACCAAGTGCCCTCTCAGACCACAGTGGAAAAAAACTGGAAATTAATTCCAAATGGAACCCTCAAAACTATAGAAATACATGAAAATTAAATAATCTGCTCCTGAATTATCTTTGGGTCAACAGTGAAATCAAGATGGAAATTAAAAATCCTTTGAACTGAATGATAATTTTGACACAGCTTATCAAAACTTCTGGGTCACAGGAAAAGTGGTGCTAAGAGGAAAGTTCATAGCATTAAATGCCTACATCAAAAAGTCTGAAAGAGCACAAAGAGACAGTCTAAGGTTACACCTCAAGGTACTAGAGAAACAACAACAATCCAAACCCAAACCCGGCAGAAGAAAAGCAATAACAAAGATCAGAGCAGAATTAAATAAAATTGAAACAAAAAAAATACAAAAGATAAATGAAACAAGCTGGTTCTTTGAAAAGATAAATAAAATTGATAGACCATTAGCAAGATTAACCAAGAAAACAGAGAGAAAATTGAAATAAGCTCAATTAGAAATGAAACGAGAGATACTACAACTGACACCACAGAAATACAAAAGATCATTCAACACTACTATGAACACCTTTACATGCACAAACTAGAAAACCTAGAGGAGGTGGATAAATTCCTGGAAATACACAACCCTCTTAGATTAAATCAGGCAGAAGCAGAAAGTCTGAACGGACCAATAACAAATAGTGAAATTGAAAAAGTAATAAAAAAATTAACAGCAAAAAAATCCAGGACCAGACGGATTCACAGCTGAATTCCATCAGGCATTCAAAGGATTGATAACAATCTTACTGAAACTATTCCAAAAGATAGAGAAACAGGGAAACCTCCCTAAATCATTCTGTGAAGTCAGTATCACCCTAATTCCAAAACCAGGAAAGGACATAACAAAAAAGAAAACTACAGACCAATATCCCTGGTGAATATAGATGCAAAAAACATCAACAAAATACTAGCTAACCAAATCAAACAACGTATCAAAAAGATAATAAACCATGATCAAGTGGGTTTTACACCAAGGATGCAGGGATGGTTTAACATATACAAATCGATAAATGTGATACATCACATAAACAGAATTAAAAATCATATGACCATCTCAATAGACACAGAAAAGCGTTTGACAAAATCCAGCATCCTTTATGATTAAAACCCTCAGTGAAGTCAGCATAGATGGGGCATACTTCAAGGTAATAAAAGCCATCTATGACAAACCCACAGCCAACATTATACTGAACAGTGAAAAGTTGAAAGCATTCCCCCTGAGAACTGGAGCAAGACAATGATGCCCACTTTCTCCACTTCTATTCAACATAGTACTAAAAGTACCAGCCAGAGCAATCAGACAAGAGAAAGAAATGAAGGGCATCCAAATCGGTAAAGAGTAAGTCAAACTGTTACTGTTCCCCAATGATATGATTATATCATTCATCCAAAAAGATTCATCCAAAAACCCTGAAGATTCATCCAAAAAGCTCCTAGATCTGATAAATGAATTCAGTAAAGTTTCAGAATACAAAATCAATGTACACAAATCAGTAGCACTGCTATACACCAAAGTGACCAAGCTGAGAATCAAATCAAGAACTCACCCCTTTTACAACAGCTGCAAAAAAATAAAATACTTAGGAATATACCTAACCAGGGAGGTGAAAGATCTCTACAAGGAAAACTACAGAACAGTACTGAAAGAAATTATAGATGACACCAACAAATGAAAACACACCTCATGCTCATGGATGGGTACAATCAATATTGTGAAAATGACCATAATGCCAAAAGCAATCTACAGATTCAGTGCAACTCCCATCAAAATACCATCATCATTCTTCACAAAACTAGAAAAAATAATCCTAAAATTCATATGGAACCATAAAAGACCCCACATAGCCAAAGCAATACTAAGCAAAAAGAACAGATCTGTTGGCATCACATTACCTGACTTCAAACTATACTACCAGGCCATAGTTACCAAAACAGCATGGTACTGGTATAAAAATAGCCACTTAAACCAATGAAACAGAATAGAGAACCCAGAAATAAAGCCAAATATTTATAGCCAACTGATCTTCAACACAGCAAACAAAAACATAAAGTCAGGAAGGGACACCCTGTTCAACAAGTGGTGCTGGGATCATTGGCAAGCCACATGTAGAAGAATGAAGCTGGATTCTCCTCTCTCACCTTATACAAAAATCAACTCAAGATAGATCAAAGACTTAAATCTGAGACCTGAAACCATAAAAATTATAGAAGATAACATCAGAAAAACTCTTCCATACATTGGCTTAGGCAAAGAGTTCATGACCAAGAATCCAACAGCAAATTGAACAAAAAGATAAATAGATGAGACCTAATTAAACTAAAAACCTTCTGTACAGCAAAAGAAATAATCAGCAGAGTAAACAGACAACCCAGAGAGTGGGAGAAAATTTTCGCAAACTATGCATCTGACAAAGGACTACTATCCAGAATCTACAAGGAACTCAAACAAGTCAGCAAGAAAAAAACAATCCCATCAAAAAGTGGGCAAAGGACATGAATAGACAATTTTCAAAAGAAGATATACAGATGGCCAACAAATATATGAAAAAATATTCAACATCACTAATTATTAGGGAAATGCAAGTCATTACCACAATGAGATACCACCTTATTCCTGCAGGAATGGCTATAATTTAAAAAATCAATAAATAACATGTTGGCATGGATGTGGTGAAAAGGGAACACTTTTACACTGTTGGTGGAAATGTAAACTAGTACAACCACTATGGAAAACAGTATGGAGATTCCTCAAAGAACTAAAAGTAGAGCTACCATTTGATCCAGCAATCTCACTACTGGGTATCCACCCAAAGAATAAGAAGTCAGTGGCTGAACGCAGTGGCTCACACCTGTAATCCCAGCACTTTGGGAGGCCAAGGTGGATGGATCATGAGGTCAGGAGTTCAAGACCAGCCTGGCCAAAATGGTAAAACCCTGTGTCTACTAAAAATACAAAAATTAGCTGGGCATGGTGGCGGGCACCTGCGATCCCAGCTATTCAAGAGTCTGAAGCAGGAGAATTGCTTCAACCTGGGAGACGGAGGTTACAGTGAGCTGAGATCGCACCACTACACTCCAGCTTGGGCAACAGAGCAAGACTCCATCTCAGAAAAAAGAAGAAGAAGAAGAAGTCATTATATGAAAAAGACACAAACACATGCATGTTTATAGCATCACAATTCACAATTGCAAAGGTATGGAACCAGCGTAAATGCCCATCAACCAACAAGTGGTTGGTTGATGAAATATGGTATATGTACACCATGGAGAGCTACTCAGCCATAAAAAAGGAATGAAATAATGGCATTCAAAGCAAGCTGGATGGAGTTTGAAGACCATTATTCTAAGTGAAGTAACTCAGGAATGGGAAAGTAGACATCATATGTTTTCACAAGCGGGAGCTAAGCTATGAGGGTGTAAAGGCATAAGAATGATATAATGGATTTTGGGGATTCAAGAAAAAGGGCAGTAGGTGGGTGAGGGATAAAACTATGCATTGGCTACACTGCTTAGGTGATGAGTGCACCAAAATCTCAGAAATCATCACTAAAGAACTTTTCCATGCAACCAAACACCATCTGTTCTGCCAAAACTCATGAAATTTTTAAAAAGTCAAAATAAAAATTACTTAAGAGACAACAAATATCAATATTTGCACCTTATTCAGATCCTGACTCAAACAAACTGTTTAAAATCAATACATGTTAGCCAGATGTAGTGGCATGTGCCAGCAGTCCTAGCTACTTGGGAGGCTGAGACAGGAAGATCACTGGAGCCCAGGAGTTCAAGGTTGCAGTGAACCTGGGCAACAGAGAGATTATCTCTAAAAAAAATTTTTAAATAAAAATAATATATATAAAAAATAATAAAATAAAAATAAAAAATATATAATTTTTAAGTGTGTATATGTGTGTATATATATGTAAAATCAATATATGGAATATGGCTGGGAATTTGAATACTAATAACATTTGATAATATTGAAGAATTGGGTTTTTTAAGGTGCTATAACATTATGTTTACATTTTAAAAGAGAGTCATTTTAGAGGTACATGCTAACATATTTCCAGAAGAAATATGATGTCTGGGATTAACTTTAGAATAATGCATTGAAGGGAGTATAAATAAATAAGATTGACCACATGTTGATCACTGATGTAGCTGGGTGATGGGTTCATGAGGGTGGTTATACTTTTATTCCCAATTTTATAGATGAATAAGAATTTCCACAACAAAAAGTAAAACAAAAAAACACAAAATTTTCACCATGGTGAATGTGGAATTTACTGACCACCTGCCACTTCCGTAAGTGCTGTCTCTTCCATTAGATTGGGGGCAAGCCTGGGCACACACCCCAGTCTAATGGTCAAAACACATGTACTAGTGCCCCTTCCTGCCCTGGTTTATAGAGCTGACCTAGACATTGGACTTCCTGCTCACTGTAGACTCTCCTATTCTGGGTCTTTGGCTTTTATGCAACCAGCCCCAAGGACGTGTCACCCAAGGATCCCAGGAGGCAATTTGATATAATGAAATAAGTTAGTCCTTTGGAATTATAACAACCTTCACCGGGAGTCTCACCTTCCCTTTAGTAGCTATGTAATATTGAGTAAAGCCCTTCACCTTACTGGGCCTTTATGAGTTGTTGTGATGATCAAATGGAATAGTATAAACAAGGATTCTTCCCGAGAATCTGGGCTCCTAAATGTACTGGTCTTCTAAGACCCAACAATGAATCGATGAAGAGGTGGTGTCTATAGTGGGAGTGACTGACATTTTCCTAGATCACATCTGTCTTCCCCACTGGACTACATCTCCTAAAGGAAGGAACCGTACTTTGTGCTTTTGGTGTTCCCAAAATGGTTAGATGGGAAAAACATGGCCTTGGTGTCAGAAAGTCCTGGGTTCAAATTCTGTCTTCATCGATTACTAACTGTGGAGCCTTTGACATGTTTTAGCCTCCTTATCTGTGAAATAATATGTCCACTTAGAGGATTTAATGAAAGAAGACATTCAAGTGCCCACAGTATAGTTGGGGCATGAGAAGTATTATTTTCCCACCTCCGTTAGGTGCTCTCTTGATACTTGCAGAATGAATGAGTTTAACAGATGCTTCTTTGAAACATGAATGCCTCAGAAGCCTTTCAGGTACAGCTTTTCAGGTTTTTCACTGAACATAGGAACCTAGGTGGACTCCCCAGGCTGTGAGTGTGTGTGACTGTTTGCCACAAGAAGGGTGCCTTTGTGTACTTTGTGAAGGATGCTGAGTGGACAAACATGTCCCTGCTCAGAAGAAAAATGCCAGTCACCCAGAGAAAGGAATTTATAAAGAATGATTGAGACTAGTGCCAAGGTCAAGAGGAAAAATAATTCTAATTGATATTGTCAGAGCACTGGGCTTTCTTTGAAGAAAGCCACATTTTTTGACCATATTAAAGTTTCTTTGTGGTTAATTCAGGTCCCTGGCCTGGGCCTCATGGTGTTAGGGTTATTATGAAGACAGAAGTATGTAAATACCAGTTATCCAACTAGGCCTGACTGCATGTTGGAATTGACTTTTCCCCAGGCTGCCCTCAGGTCCCAGTCAGCTCTGCTCAGCCAGAGCAGCATCAGGTCGTACTAATGCCAGGCAAATCCTGAATAGTGATAGGAGCCCCCCAGAAAATGTCCATTGGCAGGAGGGCCTGAGGGCTGTTGCTTCTGTTGAAGTGTTTGAAGAGGTGCTGCCACCTCAGACTGGTGTCAAGGTCAGAATGGATGTGCAGTTAACATCTTCTTTTGCCCTTGTCAGTCTTGCTACTTCATTGCAAAAGTTCAAGGCTACAGAGGCTCAGGGGCAGGGATCCCACCTTTCTGAATGGAAAGAGCAGAGGTAAGGCTCATTTCTGTGGATGGGCGGCAGGGTCAAAGGATTCTAGAGTCTGTCAGGACAAGCAAAGACAAAAGAAGAGTCAAGAAAGTTGTGAAAAGCAGCGGTGAAATTCAGTGAAGGAAAAAGTGCAGGCAGGAGGGAGGTAGCTGTAACAAGGGTATGGAGTGAAATACGTATCTCAGTATTTTTCCCCACATGCTTAACTGATAGCCCCAATTCCGTTTGTTGGACAATTATTCTTCTCCTTGTTTTCTAATACCACCTTTGTTGTGGACTAATTTTTCATCTTTTGGGGGCTTGCTGTTTAGTTCCATTCATCTGTCTCTGATCTCATGTCAGTGTGTTGTGTTGGAGTCTAAGAGTGCAAGTCCAGGGAAATTCAGACCTACATTCAGAACTACAGTTAGATGTGTGCTTTCCCAAATAGGAGACTCTTCTGTTCATCATTTTAAATGTTGTATCCTAATGTCATGAGGTCAGAAGGAACTGTTTAGGACAACGGTGTGTGCCTAATAGGGAATTAATTATTTGTGCCTGAGTGTAAGACCATGTCATGACCTTCCGATCACAAGAAAATGAGGTATCGTTGGAAAAAAACTCTAAGCCTGTCACCTGGATGTAAAAGTCGGGTTGGTGAGATCAGGCACATTCAGGGTGGTACGGTGGTAGACTAAAAGCCTACTAAAGATAAATGAAAGTCCCAGTAATTTGATTAGTTTTTTCTGTTTCTGCAAGTCACCAAAGTACATGAGCACTCAGTGGCCTTTATACTGTATGGTGGCCCCAGCCTGGTTCAGCAGGGTGTCTTCCCTCTCTATCACTCTGTGAGAAGCAGAGGGACTCTGATTGTTTCTACTCAAGCAGGGTGAGAACAATGTTATCAGGCATTTCCAGGCAGATAGCAGAGGTGGATTTTCCTAACCTCATCCCACCCTCTCTCATCTCATGCTGTCAGACTGTCATGCAGCTGCAGACAGAATCCATCCCCAGAGAACAGTGGATGGTGGAACCACATGTTTATTTTACTTTTAGTTTCCAAGTTTGCAGTAGGTTAGATGTAACATAGGAATGAACCCTGAACAATGCTTTCTGAACCTTCTATGCCACAGGTTCCCCCAAATAATTGGGAGTGGTTGGAAGGAATCAAGGAGGAAGATGGTTAGAGGTAATTATTCACTGCTCTCTTTTCAGTCTCATCGTGCTAAATCCATGCCTCTGTTTTAAACCTTATTACATCATGGTGGTATTTATTTATCTGTATGTCTTCACACCCACCCCCAACCCCTGCAGGCTGCCTAAGAGTGTCTGGACTGTTTTAACCATTTTCGGAATCTAGTGTGATGTCTGGAATATAGTAAATAAGTGTTTGAGAAATTGTGACATGCACATGTCTAGGAATGTATGTGGCAACACTAGTACTTTGTGAAAACCCCATTTCTATTCAGTTCAGGCTTATGGTTTGTGTGGTAGTTGTAGTTGGGAAGGGGAGTGTCTGCTTTAAAAAAACATTAACACCCCAAATTGCCTAATGCCTGGGACTATTTTCCAAGTCGCCTTCACTAGAATCAGAGATGGAATCTGGGGAAAGAGGTTGGGGCTCTTTGCTGAGAAAGGTAAATATTTTTCCCTATGCAGGTGACACATTACTGCTTCAGTTCATTGATGCCTAGATCCTATGACAGCCTGGCAGGTGACTGGCAGAATTTTGCTGTGTCTTGTCCCGGCAGTCAGGATTTCAGGCCTCAAAGAAAAGCTCCAGTGAAAAGGAAGGGGGAAATCCTGGGAGTGGAAGAAACCCAACCTCCAGCGGCTCCTTTTCCCTGCAGGTTCATCTTTGAGCAGCTTTGCTAATCAGACAAGAAGGTCTTTTGGGAGAGATTTTACTTATCCTTTCCTTTCCTCAGAAAGCCTCCTTTTTTTTATTTATTTTTTTAAGGCAAAGAAAAAGTTTCAACAATTCTTATCATAGCCTGCAGGCACACAAGAGCAGGAGAAAAAGCAAATTGCAAAGTGAAGACCCAGCACCCTGTGTTTAGCCTTCACCCAAAATTGCACTGCACGGTGAACACTTAATTGCTGAGTAAACATGTTTCTAGGCTGTGATCTAGATTCCCTAAGAGAAGGGTTATAGGATAGTGTGTGGTTATATTCCCTCTACCTAGAGAGGATTAAGTCTAAAATCTCCTGCATCAAGAATCTTGGTGCTGGGAAAGATGCAATACAGGTTCTCCAAGGAATGAGTTTCCACCTGTCTTTTTATGCTTTGCATCTGGCAGTTTCCTGCTTTTGGAGAAAAAAAAATCTGTGACAGCATACAGGAGGAAAAGGAACATTAAAAATGCCATAAATACTTCTAGCTATTTACCTACCCTGAAATGTGCTAGATCAGTTCCCTTGATGAAGACAACTTTTTAAAAAATAAGTTTCCTTTCAATAGATAAGAAGCCTTCTCTCTGCTGGCCATGCTTCCCCTGCGGAAGCCTGTGGTGCAGTAGCTGCTGCTGAGACTCCTCTGCCAGTTGCTATGGAGAGCAGCTGCAGGGGAGGGGATTCCTGGAGAGGCAAAGAGGTGGAGAGGAAGCTCTCCTGTCTAAATCCAGATTCTCCATCTGAAAAGGTTAAGCAGGAGGGAAACAATATTCAAAGATGGGTGTGGGTTTGGAGGTGGGGTGTGTATATATGTGTGTGTAAGAGAGAGAATATGAGAATATGTATTATTTTGATATGTGGGTTATAGCTAGTTTTCTTGGAAAAATCCTTTTCTAGAATGACATAGGAGAAAGTCTTGGGTAGTAAAACCATCTGGTTTTACAAGAAAGTGATTACACAGATTATATCTTGTGTTTATCTTTTTGTTGGTGGTGGTGGTAATAGTGTATTTGCTTTGTTCTGTTGTTTAGCAAAAATAAAGTGCTTGTGTCTTCCAATTATATTTAGCTTTTTCTAGACAATGGAGCCAGCTTTGTTGGCCTCATGAATTCTGACTCATATTTTGATGCTGACCAAATTGCATCTGTTTTTTTAATGTGTTCAATTCTATGGAAACTAGTTAAACAAATAACTTTATAACAGAGTATATCAGGCTAAGAGGAAGAAAGGGATTCCTTAAAAGTATGATGTTTGGGATTTACCTCAAAACAAAGCATTAGAAGTTAAAAGTAGACAACATAACATAGCAGAGAAAGAGGATCAAATAAATATATAAAATAGTTATAATTATCTGATGGAATTTACCTTAAAACAACATAGGAGAGGAGGGACGGGGATGGGGATTTAGATGAAACTAGACTGACTGGGGGCTGATAATGTTTGGTGCATGGGAGGCTTATGATACTACATAGAGGTTTACTTAAACCTCTAATAAAAAATCAAAAAGTCATAAAGTAAAAAGAAGCAGTTGTACATGTGTCTGTCAGCTCTTAAATATGGAAGAAATCATGGTAGGCCTCAACAAAATGAGGCTGCAGGCTAGAAAAACATTTTACTAAAGGGAATATACTGACGTTTGGTGTGGGTGGTTGATTGGTTTGGAGACGCTCACTGTCATCAGATGTCTTATTTGTAATGAAAAAATGCTGGTTACACAGGAGGGAAATGATATTCAAGGGTGAGTATATGGATTTGATCTAGGGTTAACAGGTCTCTCCCATTGTTGATTATTTTATGGCCCAAGCATTAGCATCCTAATGGAACATTCCTCTGATGGAACATTAATAGAGGCAGAGAAACTAGACAAATGACTGTATTTCCTAAAACCAATGACAAACTATCCAGTGTGGGCTACAGTATATGGGTTGAACAGCCAAAATATTGCCTTTCTTAGCCTATCAGAACCCTCTGAAGAGCACAAGGCATATAGAAACTGCCCTGAGCAACTATGTCAGTGCCATTTATAGACTACAAGCTATGTATCTACTGGGACTCCCAAGGACCCGTACTGATTATCATTTCTCATCTGATTTTCCCAGGCATGGCCCTCTGTGTTCAATGATACACATATTCAAGAACTCAGAAGAAGCAATCTTATTAGTACTTGTCAGGGGAATTCTAGTGATGGAGGATGGGGAGGCCTCAAGACCCAAGAGGCCAGACCAGAAGTCAGCTTATGTCAAAAATATGTACTGAAACTTTGAGTTCAATTTTCTGGCTACAGGGTTTGGATCGTGATCTGGTCTTATAGTCAGACCTGATATAGCCAGGTCTGAACGTATAGACCATAGTCACACTTAGGGGACTGCAACCTTGAGTTTCTACAGCACATTCTTGTGCTTTTTATGGAGTTACATGTTGGTTGGAAGAAAACTTGTGCACATGTGTGCTTGTGCGCGTGCGTGCGCACGTGCACACACACACACACACACACACACACACACACTTACCTAGACACTCTCTAAGTTTAGCTTAAGGACCTCACCCCATTTAGTTAGCCAAGAGGACAAAAATATCATCTGAAGTCTTATAGGGGAGGGGTGCACAAGGAGCAGAAGATGATAAATGGTACAGTGAATCTCCAGATGGCTCCCTGTAGCTCCCAGGGTCCCTCAGTTGACTTATCCAGGCAGATCATGATCCAAAGTGGCTGAGGTGTCCAATTTGCCACTGGAACAGCCACTCCTCATATTAGGAAGGACAGTGTATGAGGGAGGAAAATGGTTTCATCTATTTCTACCTTAAAGTCTCGCTCTGAAAGCTAGTTAATGCCCACTAAACAGGGAAAGCTGGGAGAGTTGTAATATGTGGCAGGAGATACCAACAGTGACACACAGGGACCAGAGAGATCCATCTCAGTGTGGACCCTGGCTTTTAGGCAGGTAGGTAAAATAGTGTTAGAACAAGATTCTTCTGATGCTGTGGTAATTAGCCTTATTAGGAAATGCTTATAGCCCCAAACTTAAATCTTGGGTGCTGGTATATTTCAAGACGTTTCTCAAAATGGGAGATAGAGGGTTATACCTTGTAGCCATTCTATTTTAGTCATTTTCAATCAGCTCGATTCAGTCTTCTTCCTATCCTTTAAGTTGATCATTCACACTGCATAGCATGTTCCTTTAACCAAGAAACCATTAGGAAAGTGAATGACCATTTGTGTTACTTTCACAAACTATTTCAGGAAGATAAATTGACATACAGAAAGAGAGTTTATCCCTTGTAGTGCTCCAAGTATCAGATCCCTGAGGGTTTGTCAAAGAATTAGACCATCTCCTCAGTCCCTAACATGAATCCACCATGACCCCATCTGCGGCCAGAGTGGAATGGCTGCATATGCCATGGTGACAAGGCCCTAGCAAGCTCTATGTGGGTGCAGCACCTCTCCTTCCTTGTAGGGTGAAGGTCTCTTTGTGGGAGCTTGTGGCTTTTTTGAGGGAAGCCATGCCTCTAGTTCTATGATGAAAGTTCTAGACCTGCACTGTCCAGTATAGTAGCCATACACTGGCTATTAAATTTAAATTTTCATTAAAACAACACACCCTTGGATGTTCTTTCTCTCCCTCACCTTTTCATTCTTTCCAGTCCCCCATACCTGTTTTCTGAAATTACTCTCCAAAATAAACTCTCTACATTTTAACCATGTATCAGACTACTTTTTTCACCTTCTTTACTCTGCTTATCCATTCCCTGGCCCCTCTTTCAAAAAAAAAAAATCAAATAAACTTAGAGCCAGAAAGACCTTTAGAAAACATTTATTTCCATACCTTTTGGCTATAGATAAGGACACAGAGGCCCAAAGAAAGTAATATGCCCCTGCTATAAATTGTCTTTCTTGTAGAAAAGATGTGTGAATCAAAAGTAGAGAATCAAAAAATAAATAAACAATAAAGGACCCCTTAGCTTGGCATACAGTTCCAAAGTCAAGAATAAGACTTTATTAACAGAGAGAAAAGAGAGCTAACCTTTGACGTGGCATAAAAGGCTTAAGAGTTGAAATAGAGAAGTAACTGTACAATTTTGTTCAAAAAAGAAAGTTTTAAACATAAAAGATATTCAGAGTTTTGGGTCAACTGCATCTTTCTGGAGAGTTTAGTTTCTTGTTAAGTCAATTTGTGTATTTTCATTGAGCATACATCCTTAACAAGGTTTCATACATGCTGGCACTTTGAGGGACAGTCAAGGGACATTCTGAAAGAACTCCCAATAGACTGGGGATCAGGAGATTGAATTTCAAATTACATTTCGTCCATTAATTGACTCTGTAAACTTGAAAAAGTCATTTCCTTTCTCTGGGCTATGTGGAAGTTCCTTTTTTTATAAATGACAAATAGCCTTATCATGGAATCATAGAATATTAACTTTAGAGGTGGTTTAGAGCCCATCCTCATTTTGCAGGTCCAAAGAAATGAAGTGAGTTTCGTCAGTTAATACGATAGCTCCTCCTGGGGAAAAAAAAAGAAAAAAGAAGTGAGTTTCTGCAAGTTGTTGAGTTAGAATCAGACCACATACTACCTGATCCTCAATCTAGGATTAATTTGACGAATATTCCTAGCCATGAAATCTTGTGACTCCATGATCACAAGATAAGACAGTATTTCTGCCGTGAAGGATCATAGCCAAATTGAGGAGACACTTGATACCCATAAATAGTTATTATTTAAGACAAAAAACGAGACCCAGTAAGACTGACAACCCTCACTTAAATTAAGGCCATTGAGAGAAGCAGATTGTCAGGAAAATCCGTGAGGTTCGAGCTGAGCTTTTAAAAAATTGAGTAGATGGAAAATGTCATTATGGGTGTATGAAAGTAGCCAGAGCAAGACATGGACATGGGATCAGCCAGGAGGACAATGACTGTGTCCATCTGGCAGGAGGAGGTGAGATGGGGTTCGCAGGTTATGGTCCTTGGAGAGAAGTTCTTGGTGTTGCCCTTCCTCACTCCTTGGGGCAGGTCTGAAGATATAGTGAAGGGATCTGACACACGCTTTCAAGTCTGTAACAGAGAAGGAAGTAGAATGTGGAAACTATGACCAGGAGCCCTTAAAGTAATTAAATAGTTAAATAGTTAAAGATGCTAATTTCTGATTTGTCCTCAAGCAATTTTATTTTTAAATGACATTTTAGGCATAACTGATACATGGTGTTCCTGGCATCAGGATAGTTAGAAAATTCAATTAGTAGACTAATGAAGAACAGTTCACATTTTTGCTGGTAGTTGTTTGGAACAGATTGTTTAAATAAGCATAATTGTTTGTTTAGAAACAGGAATGGGTAAGCCCTTTATCAAGCCCACCAGCTTGATAAATTTCTTATTTTACATAGGATTGGTAAGGAAGAGATTCAGAGTTTCATATTTGTAATTAGAGAAATGTAATTATGGTAGGAAAATAGCAGTACATATACTTTAAAGATGAAGAAATAAGGAAGCATCAAAATAAAAGCAATACAAGCAGTAAAATAGAAATTGTAAAGCAAGATGAGAGAAATAAGACCTACCAACATTTATGTCAATAAATGTAAATGAATTAAAGTCCTCCGCTGGATGACAAAGACTTTCATTTAAAACAAAGCATAGCCATGTGCTCCATTCACCTAACTCAAATGACACAAAAGATTTACAAATAAAGATAGAGAAAAATCAGACAAAAATAAAACAAATATATTTTTAAATCAAAAAAAGCAAAAGTCAGAACAAGGTAGTAGTGGCACTATTAATATTGGTTAAAATAAAACTCCAGAGGAAAATGCTTTGGATAGAGGATTGTTTTATAAAAGTTGCAATCCACAATGAATGTGTAATGTACTATAACATAGCACAGAAATACAAAAGCAAAAGCTATTTGAAGACAAAAAAGTGGGATAAAATATAATTGTTGTGAAAAACTTAGCATATCACATTTAGTCTTTAGTAAATTATGGAATCAAAATTAAATAAGATTTGATAAAGAAAATGTGGTATATAGAATGAGCAGAGCAAAATGATCAAATAGAAGGCTCTATCAATTGTTCCCCCATGCGGGAACACCAAATTTAATAACTATCTACACCAAAAAACACCTTCAAAAGAACCAAAAATAAGATGAGCACTCACAGTACCTGGTTTTACCTTCATATCGCTGAAAGAGTCATTGAAGAGGATAGGAAACACAGTGCTGAATCACCGATGGTACCCTTCCCTCATCCTCTGCCGGGAGCTGCACGGCACGGAGAAAGAATCTGTTCACTTCAGTGTGAGAGTGCAACAATTGTGGGACAGTGTGTTGAACTCAGTGCTGCCCTGTCACAACAGAAAGCAAAACTGGGCTGAACTTAGCCGACACCCACCCATCAAGGGAGTATTTAAACCAGCCCTAGCCAGAGAGGAATTGCCCATCCCAGTAGTTGGAACTTGAGTTCTGGCAAGCTGCACCACTGAGGGCTAAAGGCCTTTGGGCCCTAAATAAACTTGAAAGGCAGTCTAGGTCACAAAGACTCCAATTCCTAGGTAAGTTCTGGTGCTGAACTGAGCTCAGAACCAGTGGACTTTAAGGCGCATGACCTACTGAGACACCAGCTGGGAGTGCTTATGCCACCTTTCCCCCAACCTAAGGGTTGGAGATTTGCTTATCCCACCCTTCCCCAAACCCCAGTTGCACAGCTCATGGCTCCAAAAATGACCCCTTCCTTCCACTTGAGAATAGGAGAGGGAAGAGTTAAGAGAACTTTGTTTTGCCTCTTGGATACCAGCTCATCAGAGTGGGATAGGGCAACAGTCAGAGTATGAGGCCCTCTTTCCAGTCCCTAGCTCCCAGTTGGCATTGCTAGACACCCTGGGCCTGAAGGGAACTCACTGCCTACTAAAGAGTCCTTGGGCTCTAAATAACCAGCAGCAATACCCAGGTACTTTGCCATGGGTCTTGGGTGGGACTCTGAGACTCACTGGCTTCAAGTGAGACTCAGCACATTCTCAGGTGTGGTAGCTATGGGGAGAGACTACTTCTGCTTGAGAAAAGTGGAGGGAAAAGTAAAAGGGACTTTGTCTTTCATCTTGTGTACCAGCTCAGCCACAGAGGGGCAGAGCAGCAAGGGGGCTCTTAGGGTCTCTGATTCCAGGCCATGGCTCTTGGATAGCATGGCTGGACCTGCCTTGGGCCAGAGGGGAGCCCACTGCCCTGAAGGGTGAGTCCCCAGGCCAGGCAGCATTCACAACAAGCCAACTGAAGAGCTCTTGGGCTTAAAGTAAATGTTGGCAGTAGACTGGCAGTACTCCCCTGTGGCCTATGGTAGTAGCGGCTGTGAGGTGAGGCTTCTCTCCCTGTGGAAAGGGGAGGAAAGAGTGAGAAGGACTGTGTCTCATGGTTTGAGTGCCAGCTCAGCCACAGTACAGTAGAACACCAGGTAGGTAGACTTCTGAGGTTTTTGACTCCAGCCCCTGGCTCCTGGGTGGCACCTCTGGACCCACCTGGGGCCTGGAGAAACTTGCTGCCCAGAAGGAAAGGAAACAAACCTGGCTGACTTCTCCACCTGCTGATCAAAGAACCCCAGGACCTTTAGCAAATGGTAGCCAGGTAGTAGTTATAGCAGGCCTTGGGTGAGATCCAGTGCTGTGCAGGCTGCAGGTCTTACCCAGCACACTCCCATTGATGGTAGCTACAGGGGCGCTTGTGTCATCCCACTCCCAGCTCCAGGTGGCTCAAAACACAGTGTGAGACTCCATTTATTTGGGAGAAGTTAAGGGAACAGAACAAGAGTTTCTGCCTGGTAATTCAGAGAATTCTTTCAGATCTTATCCAAGACCATTAATGCAGTACCTCTATGAGTCTGTAAGAACCACAGCGTTACTGGGCTTCAGGTGTCCCCTAACGCAGATATGGCTTAGATCACAATACCTAACTCCTTTTGAATATCTGAAAAGCCTTCTTAAGAAGGATGGTTACAAACAAGCCCACACTGTGAAGACTACAATAAATACCTAATTCTTTAATGCCCAGACGTCGAAGAACATCAACAAGAATCAAGATCATATAGGAAAACATGACCTCACCAAATGAACTTAAATAAGGTAGAAAGGACCAATCCTGGAGAAAAAGAAATGTGTGACATTTCAGACAGAGAATTCAAAATAGCTGTTTTGAGGAAATTCAAAGAAATTCAAGATAACACAGAGGAGGGATTCAGAATTGTATCAGATAAATTCAACAAACAGATTGAAATAATTAAAAACAATCAAGCAGAAATACTGGAGTTGAAAAATGCAATTGACATGCTGAAGAATGTATCAGGGTCTTTTAATAGCAGACTTGAGCAGAAGAAAGAATTGGTGAGCTTGAAGACAGGCTATTTAAAAATACACGTCGGAGGAGGCAAAAGAAAAAAGAACAAAAAACAATGAAGCACACTTATAAGGATCTAGAAAATACCCTCAAATGGGCAAATCTAAGAGTTATTGGCCTTAAAGAGGAGATGGAGAAAGAGATGGGGTAGAAAGTTTATTGAAAGGGATAATAACAGAGAACTTCCCAAACCTAGAGAAAGATATCAATATCCAAGTACAAGAAGGTTATAGAACACCAAGCAGATATAACCCAAAGAAAGCTACCTCAAGGCATTTAATAATTAAACTCCCAAACGTCAAGGATAAAGAAAGGATGCTAAAAGCAGCAAGAGAAAAGAACAACATAAAATGAAGGTACAGTACATCTGGCAGCAGACTTCTTAGTGGAAACCTTACAGGCCAAGAGAGAGTGGCATGACATATTTAAAGTACTGAAGGAAAAAACTTTTATCCTAGAATAGTGTATCCAGTGAAAATATACTCCAAACCTGAAGCAGAAATAGACTTTCCCAGACAAACAAAAGTTAAGGGATTTCATCAACATTAGATCTGTCCTACAAGAAATGCTAAATACAGTTCTTCAATCAGAAAGAAAATGACATTAATGAACAATAAGACATCATCTGAAGGTACAAAACTCACTAGTATTAGTAAGTACACAGAAAAACAGAATACTGTAACACTATAACTGTGGTGTGTAAACTGCTCATATCTTAAATTGAAAGACTAAAAGATGAACCAATCAAAAATAATAACCACAACAACTTTTGAAGACATTGACAGCACGATAAGATATAAATAGAAACAACAAAAAGCTTAAAATCAGGAGGATGAAATTAAGGCATACAATTTTTAATAGTCTTATTTTTGCTTGGTTATTTATGCAAAGAGTGTTGTTATCAGCTTAAAATAATGGGTTATAAGATAGCATTTGCAAGCCTCATGGTAGCCTCAAATCAAAAAGCTAATGGATACACAAAAAATCAAAAGCAAGAAATTAAATAATAACACCAAAGAAAATAATAACACCAAAGAACAGAACACAGGAAGGAAGAAAAGAAGGAAGAGAAGACCACAAAACAACCAGGGGGCAAATAACAAAATGACATGAGTAACCCTTACTTATCAATAATAACATTGAATGTAAATGGACTAAACTCTCCAATCAAGGACATAGAGTGGCTGAGTGGATTAAAAAAAAAACCAAGACCTAATTATCAGTTGCCTATAAGAAACACACTTCACCTATAAAGACAAAAATAAACTGAAAATAAAGGGATGGAAAAAGATCTTCCATGCCAATGGAAACCAAAAAAGTGCAGTAGCTATACTTATACAAAATAGATTTCAAGACAAAAGCTTTAAGAAGAGACAAAGAAGGTCACTATATAATGATAAGGAGTCAATTCAGCAAGAGGATAGAATAATTTTAAATATATATACACCCAACACTGGAGCACCCAGATATTTAAATCAAAGATTATTAAAACTAAAGAAAGTGACCCCAATACAATAATAGCTGGGAACTTCAACACTCCACTTTCAGCATTGGACAAATCTTCCAGACAGAAAATCAACAAAGAGACATCAGACTTAATATGCACTATAAACCAAATGAACTTAATAGATATTTACAGAATATTTCATCCAGTGGCTGCAGAATACATATTCCTTTCCTCAACATATGGATCATTCTAAAGAATAGACCATGTGTCAGGTCACAAAACAAGTCTTAAAACATCCAAAAAATTGAAATAATACCAAGTATATTCTCTGACCACAATGGAATAAAGCTAGAAATCAATAACAAGAGGAATTTAGGAAACTATACAAATGCATAGAAATAAACATTATGCCTCCTGAATGACCAGTGGGTCAATGAAGAAATCAGAAGGAAATTGAAAATTTTCTTGAAACAAATGATAATGAAAACACAATATACCAAACCTGTATGATACAGTGAAAGCAGTACTAAGAAGAAAATTTATAGCTATAAGTGCCTATATCAAAAAAGAAGAAAAATGTCAAATAAACGACCTAATATTACATCTTAAAGAACTAGAAGAGCAAGAGGAAAACAAATCCAAAATCAGTAGAAGAAAATAAGAAAGCTCAGAACAGAAATAAATGAAATGAAATGAAGGAAACAATACAAAAGATTAATGAAACAAAAAGTTGTTTTTTTTTGAAAAAATAAAATTGACAAACCTTTAGCCAGACTAGCTAAGAAAAAAAGAAGACCCAAATAAAATCAGAGATGAAAAAGGAGATTACAGCTGATACTGCAGAAATTCAAAGGATCATTAGTGGCTATCGTGAGCAACTATATGTCAATAAATTGGAAAATCTAGAAGAAATAGACAAATTCCTAGACACATACAGCCTAACAAGATTGAACCATGAAGAAATCCAAAACTTGAACGGACTAATAACAAATAACAAGAGCAAACCTTTAGTAACAGTTCTCCTAGCAAAGAAAAGCCCAGTCTCTGATGACCAAACATTTAAAGAACAACTAATACCAATTCTACTCAAACTATTTCAAAAAATAGAGGAGAGAATACTTCCGAACTCATTCTATAAGACCAGTATCACCCTGATACCAAAACCAGACAGAGACACATCAAAAAAAAACAAACAAAAAAACTATAGGCCAGTATCACTAATAAATATTGATGCAAAAATTCTCAATAGAATATTAGCAAACTGAATTCAACAATATATTCAGAAGATCATTCATCATGACCAAATGGGATTTATCCCAGGGATGCAAGGATAATGCACAAATCAATTAATGTAAAACATAATATTAACAGAATGAAGGACAAAAACCATATGATCATTTCAAATGATGCTAAAAAAGCATTCAACAAAATTTAACATTCATGATAAAAACCCTCAAAAAAGTGGGTATAGAAGGAACATACCTCCACATAATAAAAGCCATATACTACAGACCAATCACTAGTATCATACTGAATGGGGAAAAACTAAAAGACTTTCCTCTAAGATCTAGAACACGGCAAGGATGCCCACTTCCACATTGTTATTCAACATAGCAGTGGAAGTCCTATCTAGAGCAATCAGACAATAGAAATAAAGGAGATCCAAATTGGAAAGGAAGAAGTCAAATTATCCTTGTTTGCAGATGATATCCTATATTTGGAAAACCCTAAAGACTCCATACACACCAAAAAAACTATTAGAACTGATAAATTCAATAAGTTGCAGGATACAAAATCAACATACAAAAATCAGTAGCATTTCTGTATGCCAGCAGTGAATAATCTGAAAAGGAAATCAAGAAAGTAATCCCATTTACATTAGCTACAAATAAAATAAAATACCTAGGAATTAACCAAAGATCTCTACAATGAAAACTATAAAACATTAATGCAAGAAATTGAAGAGAACACCAAAAAATGGAAAGATATACCGTGTCTATGGATTGAAATAATATTGTTAAAATGCCCTTACTACCCAATGCAATCTACAGATTTAATGCAATCCCTATCAAAATACCAATGACATTCTTCACAGAAATAGTAGAAATAGTCCTAAAACATATGTGGAACTGCAAAGATCTAGAATAGCCAAAGCTATCCTAAGCAAAAAGAACAAAACTGGAAGAATCATATTACTTGACTTTAAGTTATACTATGGAGCTATAATAACCTAAACTACATGCTACTGACATAGACACATAAATCAGTGGAACAGAATAGAGAACCTGGAGAAAAATCCATGCATCTACAATGAACTCATTTTTGACAAAGGGGCCAGGAACATACATTGGAGAAAAGACAATCTCTTCAATAAATGGTGCTGGAAAACTGGATATCCATATGCAGAAGAATGAAACTAGACCCCCATCTTTCACCATATTACAAAAATCAAATCAAAATGGATTTAAAACCTAAATCTAAGACCTCAAACTATGAAACTACTAAAAGAAAACATTGGGGAAACCCTCCAGGACATTGAACTGGGCAAAAATTTCTTGAGTAACACCCCACAAGCACAGGCAACCAAAGCAAAAAGAACAAATGGGATCACTTCAAGTTAAAAAGCATCTGCACAGCAAAAGAAATAATTAATAAAGTGAAGAGACAACCCACAGAATGGGAGAAAATATTTGCAGACTATCTATCTGACAAGGGATTAATAATCAGGAAATATAAATTTCAAACAACTCCATAGGAAAAAAATCTAATACCCCAATTTAAAAAATGGGCAAAATATCTGAATGGGTATTTCTCAAAAGAAGACATACACATGTCAAACAGGTATATGAATAAGACCCAGTATTTGCTAGTACAACCGGGTGACTCTAGTCAAAAATAATTTAATTATACATTTTAAAAATAACTAAAAGAGTATAACTGGATTGTTTGTAACACAAAGGATAAATGCTTGAGGCAGGATGGATACCTCATTTACCCTGATGTGATTATTATGCATTGCATGTCTGTATCAAAATATCTCATGTAATCCAAAATATATACACCCACTATATAACCACAAAAATTAAAAATTAAAAAAGTTAAAAAAGAAAATGTGGTATATATATATACACACACACACACAATGGAGTACTCTGCAGCCATAAAAAATGAAAATTCATGGCAACACAAATAAGCCTAGAGGACATTATGTAAAGTGAAGTAAGTAAGGCACAGAAAAATAAATACTGCATCTTCTTAGTCATGTGGGAGCTAAAGTTGTTGGTCTCATATAAGTAGAGAGCAGAATTGTGATTACTGGAGCCTGAGAAGGGTGGAAGTAGGGAGAAGAGAATAGGGAGAGGTTGGTTAAGGGATACAAAATTACACTAGATAGGAGAAATAAGATCTAGTGTTATTAGCACTGCAGAGTGACTATAGTTAACAATAATTTATTGTATATTTTCAAATAGTTAGAAGAGAATTTTGAACGTTCCCAACACAAAGAAATGATAGATGTTTGAGATGATGGATATGGCAATACCCTGATTTGGTTATTACACATTGTATACATGTATTGAAATATCATTCTATAGCCCATAAATATGTGCAATTATTACATGTCAAGAAAAAATGTGCAAAAGATACAAAGCAGCATTTCAAAAAGATATATGGGTGGCATGCATATAAAAAAAGTGCCCAAGACTATTTGTCCTTAGAGAAGAGGAAACTAAATCCAAAATGAAATACTGCAGCACAACTGTTAGAATGGCTAAAACATTGACAGCAACAAATGCTGGTGAGAATGTGGAGCAACAGGAACTCTAATTAATTGAGGATGGGAAGAAATGATGATACAATCACTTTAGAGACACTGTAGACGTTTCTTATAAAGCTGAGTATATAGATATTATTCAACCTAGCAATCTCACTGTTTGGTGTTTATCCAAGTAAATTGAAAATATATGTTCTACAAAAACTTGCATGTGAATGTTTAATAGCTTACAGTAGCTTTATTCTTAATATCTCCAAACTGTTAAGAACCAAGATGTCCTTCAGCAGGTGAATGAGTAAACAAACTGTGGTACAATCATGCAGTGGAACACTATTAAGCAATAAAAGAGAACAAGGTTGCTGATTTGTGCAAAGACATGAATAAATCTTAAGTAGATTTTGTTAACTGAAAGAAGCCAGAGCCAAAAAGAAAAGGAAACTATATGGACAGAAAATAGATCAGTGCTTGTCAGTGATTGGGGGAGGAGGGTCAGGGTGACTAAAAATGGGCTGTACAGTGAAATGTTAGGGTGTATAAACTCTTACTAGGGTTGTGGATATCTGATGGTATGCATTTACCAAACCCTTATAAGATGTTTATCACAAACAGTGAGATTTAATATATGCAAAATGAAAAAAAATCAACTAGATTTGAGAGTCCAGGGTTGGACTGCAGACTGGGGAAAGTGAATATCCAGTTGACCCTTGAACAACATACGTTTAAACTGCATAGGTCTACTTATACACAACCTTTTTCCAACCAAACCATATCAAAAATATAGTAGTCACAGAGTGCCATCCCCCTGCACTCTCCATCCACAGAAAAATTGTCTTCCATGAAACCAGTCCCTGGTGCCAAAAGGTTGGGAACCACTGTTACAGATGATATAATCTTCTTTTCAAATATCCATGGATCATTCATTAAAAATTATTCTATACTGGACCAAAAAATTAAAAACCCTTAAATTCAAAAAAGTAAAACCTCTCCTTAGTGCAATAAAAACTAGGATTAGAAATTTAAAAAATAAAAAATTTAAACAAAAATCTCACAGCTATTTTGGCATTAAAGCAAACTTACCCTAAATAAATATTAGATATTAGAAAAAGTTAAAAATTCAAATATCGATTGCACAGAAAATAACATCAGTCCAAAAACTACATGTCAAAACTTATGGTTGAAAAGTGATCACAATATACTATTTTATAGAAATACTTAAGGCATAAGTAACAGAAGGAAAGAAGATGCATTAGTAATAAATTCTGAATGCAAAGCAAAAAGATATATATCCTTCCAGACAAAGCTTTCATCTTTTAATAAGGAAGAATGAAGATAAATTACCTATTAATTCAGCCCAAAAAAAAATCAAAAGATAACAAAATGAATTTAAAGAAGATATGAAGAGAAAATGGAATATAATTAGAAATTAGAAAAACAATCACACTTATGAATTATCCAGTAGTTGATTGGGAACAAAATAATAAAATGTGCACCTTTCAGTCTAGTAAGGGAAAATGTGAATTTAGTAAGGCAAAACAAAAAAATTTGGTATGAGAAAAGTATATTACAGATGAGGAAACTTTAAAGCAATTGCTACACTTTGTACTATACTTTGTATTACATATTTAGTGTAAAATTTTCAACAAAATTCAAAATCTCCTAGGAAAAAAATCAACCAAAATTATATAGGAAGTCAGAATTATAAGCATGGATGGTATTTTTAAGTTTTTAGGTTGTCAAAGAATTATTCCCAAAAAGAAGTTTTTTACTATTTACAAGTAGGCTTTTAAAAAGAAAAGTTTAATGAACAAGCATTTCAGATGATATATAAAGAGGCCTATGTCACTGAAAATATTTAAAGCTTCTTGGTTTGTATTATACAGCTCATGTAACCGAGTTTCCAAAGCCAAACTTGAAACCTTAAACACACACACATGCACACCCAACAAACTTACAAACCAGTCTTAATCATAAATAAAGATACAGCAATCTGAAACAGTTTTGTCAAATTATATACATCAAGATCAAATGAAGTTTATTCTAAGAATGCAAAGATGGATTGCTATTAATCCATAGATTGCCATTAATATAGATCATGAGGTCTAAGGAGACCCAGAGCTAGATGACCATGTCAAAATATTACAGAAAAATTATTTGATAATTTTTAATATTTATTCCTTTAGGGGAATAAAAGCTCTCAATTAAATGTAGAAAGATATGTTCTTATCCTAACACCAATAGCTCTTATTATGTGTAGTCATTATCATTAAAACCAGGATTAAAACAAGCATGCCTTCCACCATGATTACTAGATAACCGTCAAACAATTCCAGACACTCAAATAAATGCAATATGATGAAAGACAAAAATAAGAGTTACAAACTTATGAAAGTAATACCAGATTATTATTCAAAGGAACATTATTGTTTTCCTGAAAGATCCTAACCCATGAGAACTGAGACATTAGCAAAATATATGGTTACAGAGTTAACATACAAAAAAATTAATAGCTAATGATTCTATTCAAATTAAGTTCTGCTCTGAAAGGCAATATTGCTTGAAAAGGAATATAAAGTTTCCAGTGACAGGTGATGGAGATGTTCTGCATCTTGATTAGAATGCTGATTAACAGATATATAATCCACATTTAAGATATATGAATTTTGCTGTATGCAAATTGGAGTAATACAGTATGTAGCCTTTTCAGACTGGCTTCTTTCACTCAGCAATATGTTTAAGGATCTTCCACGTCTTTTTGTGCTTTGATAACTCATTTCTTTTTATTGCTGAATAATATTTCATCATACGGATGTACCACAGTTTCTGTGTTCGTTCACCTATTCAAAGACATCTTGGTTGCTTCTAGTTGTTGACAATTATGAATAAAGTAGCTATAAGCATTCATGTGTAGGATTCTGTGTGAACTTAAATTTTCAATTCATTTAGGTAAATACCTAGGAGCACAATTACTAGATCATACAGTAAGACTATGATTAACTTTGTAAGAAACTGCCAAACTTTCTTCCTTGGTGGCTGTACCATTTTGCATTCCTGTCAGCACTGAATGAG
This sequence comes from Homo sapiens, assembly GCF_000001405.40. Taxonomy (NCBI): domain Eukaryota; kingdom Metazoa; phylum Chordata; class Mammalia; order Primates; family Hominidae; genus Homo; species Homo sapiens. Next base: position 133,346,267 of record NC_000003.12, read on the forward strand.
AGTTCCTGTTACTTCACTTCCTCACCAGCATTTGGTATTATCAGTTTTGTTTTGTTTTTGTTTTTGTTTTTGTTTTGGATTTTAGCCATTCTAATAGGTGTGTAGTGGTATCCCATTGTTGTTTTAATTGACAGTTCTCTAATGACATATGACATTGAACATCTTTTCATATGCTTATTGGCTATCTGTATTATCTTCATTGGTGAGGTATCTGTTCAGATCTCTTGCCCAATTTTTAATTGAATTTTCTTATATTAAATTTTAAGAGAGATTTGTATATTTTGGATTCAAGTCCTTTATTGAATGTATGCAATTATTTTCTTCCAGTCGATGGCTTGTCTTTTATTCTTTGAATTTATCACAGCAGAAGTTTTAAATTTAATAAAGTCCAGCTTATCATTTTTTTCTTTCATAGGCTTTGCTTTTTGTGTTGTATCTAAAAACTCATGAAACCCAAAGTCACCTAAATTTTCTCCTATGTTATCTTCTACAAGTTCTATAGTTTTGCATTTTACATTTAGGTCTATGACCCATGTTGAGTTAATTTTTGTGAAAGATGTTAGCTCTTTGTCTAGATTCATGTTTTGCATGTGGATGTCCAGTTGTCCTGGCACCGTTTATTGAACAAACAGTCCTTTCTCCATTGAATTGCCTTAGCTCCTTTGTCAAAGATCAGTTGACTTTATTTGCGTGAGTCTGTCTCTGGACCCTATTCTGTTCTGTTGATCAGTTTCTCTGTTCTTTCATCAGTATTACACTGCCTTCATTACTGAACCTTTATCGTAAGTCTTGAAGTTGGATAGTGTCAGTCTTTCAATTTTGTTCTCCTTCAGTATTGCATTGGCTATTGGTCTTTTGCCTTTCCATATAAACTTTATAATCAGTTTGTCAATATCCATAAAATAACTTGCTTTGGGATTTTTATTGAGATTTTGTTGAATCTGTAGATCAAGTTGGGAAGAACTGACATCTTCACAATATTGAGTCTTCTCATCTGTGAACATAGAATATCTCTCCATTTCTTTAGACCTTCTTTGATTTCTTTCATCAGAGTTTTGCCATTGTCCACATACAGATCTTGTACATATTTTGTTAAATTTATACCTAAGTGTTTTCTTTCCTTCCTTTTTTCTTTTTGGTGTTAGTGTACATAGTGTTGTGTTTTTCATTTTAAATTCCAATTGTTCATTGATGGTATATAGAAAACCAACTGACTTTTGTATATTAATATTGCTTATTAGTTCCAGTATTTTTTGTTGTTGTTGTTTTTTGTCAGTTCTCTGAGATTTTCTACGTTGGCAATCATGTCATCTGCAAACAAAGTTTTATTTATTCTCAATCTGTATACTTGTAGTTCCTTTTCTTGCTTTATTGCATTAGCTAGGGCTTCCAGTGTGACATGGAATAGGAGTGGTGACAGGTAACATTCTTGTCTTGTTCTTTATCTATATGTAAATTATACCTCACTAAAATAAGTTAATAAAAACGTAATACTTCCCCTATATAGCAGGAGTGACTATGTAGAATATATAAAGAAATTTTTTTCATAATTGCAACAGAAAAACTTAATATTTAACCAACACAGAAAGAAAACTATAAAGCCTCACTGCAAGAAGGAGCATAAAAGAAGATTTGAATTAATGAAGAGAGAGATCACATTCTATCTCAAAGGGAGATTTAATATTGCCAGGATTGCCCAAATTAGTTATAATAAATAGCCTTATTGAAATCCAAATCAAAATTCTAATAATGGAATTCTTAATTAACCTATGGAAAATGAGTCCAAAGTTTATCTAAAAGTATAAACAGAAACAAGTAGTAAAGATATTTTTGAAAAACAAGAGTAATGAGGGGGGGGCCAGATTTGCTTTACCAAAAATCAAAACATGTCATTAAGTAATATTAATCAAAATATTGTATTACAAATATAAGAGAACAGATTAGGGTAACTAGATAGCCCTGAAACAGTTTGTTTATAACAGTTTTATTATATTTTTAAAATTTAAATATAATAAAGGTAGCAGTTCAAAATCTGGGCAAAGGATAAGTCAGTAAATGGTATTAGGAGAATTAATTACTTGGAAAAAATAAGTTAGAGCTTCATCACACACAGTATATCAAGGTAAATTACAAATGGATTGAACTTTTTGTCTTTGGTTTCTCAGGAAACCTTGGGGAGAAGTCTTAGTATAGGGCATTTAGTGTTGAGTGCACTGGGAGATAGAGTGAAGCGGAGTGGAGGCGGGCAGTCCCTCTAATACATGCTAATATGAAGAGCTCAGCTGACTCCACAGGTAGCTGGGGAGCTGGGCTAGCCCATCACAGCTGTCCCAAATTGAGACAAGGGCCTGTGTTCCCTGACATCAACCAGGTGTTGAATGTGGGATTTACCCTGGAGGGGCATGGTGTAGGGTGAGGCAACTCCCTTTGGCTCAGTGAGATTTCTGGGAGAGAGATTGAACAATGAGCCATCAGCATCCAACAGTCCAAGAAATTCGGGAATGAGAGCCTAAGTCTTCAAGAGGGGACCTGAGTGGCACACAACATCCACTACATAGTGTAGAAGATGAAATTATAAAACAAATAGAGGAAAATATTGGTAAATATTTCCAAAAACAGGATTGGGAAGGACTTTTCTTTGGTCAAAAACAAAACAAAACTCCATAGACAAAACAAAATCAAAGGCAGACAAACTATTGGGGGAAAATATTTTCAGTAAACATGATTGTTACCAAGTTTCTAGCCTTGACATATTAAAAAATACTCACAATAGATTTTTAAAGACTAATATTACAGGAAAAAAGCAGACAGTGCTCTTGAGCAAAAGAAAATATACAGGTGAGCAATAAACTTCTGGAAAAGTGTTCAATTTCATTAATAGCCAAAGGAATACAAATATAATACTATTTTTCCCCTTTAAGTTGACCAAAACTGAGGCCTATAGAGTTTAAGTAACTTCTTCAAAGTCCCATCACAGGAACATAACAGAGGAGGCATTCAAATCTAGGGTTGAATGCTGGTTTAATGTGGCACAATATAAACACATGTAATCAAAGCCTCATTAAATAGTAAAGGGATTATTTAAAATAGTAGACCAGAAGAACAAAGAAAACAGGAGAGCAAACACAGCAATATAATTTAAGAAGTTAAAAGCACAGGCAACAAAAGCAAAAATAGACAAATAGGATTACATGAAACTAATAAACATTTGCACAGCAAAGGAAATAGCAGAGTGAAGAGATGGCCTAAAGAATGGGAGAAAATATTTGCAAATTATACATCTGACAAGGGGTTAATATCCAGACTATATAAGGAACTTAATAGCAAAAAAAAAACTAACCTGATTTTTAAATGAGCAAAAGACCTTCACAGACATTTCTCAAGATAAACAAATGGCCAACAGATACATGAAAAAATGCTCATTACTAACCATGAGGGAAATACAAATCAAAACCACAATGAGATACCATCTCATCCAGTTAAAGTGACTATTATTTTAAAAGAGACAAAAGAAAACAAGTGCCGGTGAGGATGTGGAGAAAAGAAAACACTTGCACACTGTTGGTAGGATTGTAAACTAGTACAGCCATTATGGAAAACAGTATGGAAGTTCCTCAAAAAATTAAAAATAGAGCTACCACATGATCCACCAATCCCATTACTGTATATATATCCAAAGGAAATCAGTATATCAAAAGATATCTGCACTCTTAGGGTTATTGCAGCATTATTCAAAATAGTGAAGATATGGAATCAACCTAAGTATCCAACAATGGATGAATAAAGACAATGTGGTATATGTACACAATGGAATACTATTCAGCCATAAAAATGAAGGAAATCCTGTCCTTTGCAACAACATGGATCAGCTTGGAGGACATTATGTTAAGTGAAATAAGGCAGCCACAGAAAGACAAATACTACATGATCTCACCACTCATATGTGGTATCTAAAAAAAGAAAAAGAGGTGATATAGAAGCAAAGAGTAGAACAGTGATTACTAGAGACTGGGAGGGGAGGAAGGAGAGAATGGGGAGAGGATGGTTAATAGGTAAAAGGTTACAACCAGGAGAAATAGGTTCTAGTGTTCTATTGAACAGTAGGGTGACTATGGTTAATAGTAAAACATTGTGTATTACTAAATACTAGAAGAGAGGCTTGTGAAGGTGGTTCTCACCACAAAAAAAAAGATGATAAATGCATGAGGTAATAGATATGCTAAATACCCTGATTTGATCATTATACAATGTAGATATTAACCAAAACATCAAATTGTTCTCTATAAATATGTACAATTCCAATTTGTCAATTAAAAAATAAAAACCAAAATCTAGAAAACAAATGGAGAAAGGGTAACTTCCTTGGAAACCTGATGAAGTTGAATCCTAAACTAGGAGTCAGGAAGACCTAGAACCAACTATAGAACCTCCCAAAACCTTAAGATTCGGCAGTAATTCCAGGAACCCCTGGGAATGGGGGTGGAGGTGGAACTACAGGTCAGAGAATTGGTTGAATGACTATGGAAACACCAAGCATTGTATACAAAAATAGGGTGTAAAGGCAGTTTTACATACTGAATGCTGAGACCCTGGCCCTCTTCCTAGCTTGCTGGCAAAGTATCAGTAACCAGAGCCACACCCTCCAGGCAGGAGACTGAAAGGAAAGATATGACATTGACATCCAGGATTCCCTAAGTTATATTACAAAGCCTGTTTCTTTCCCACCACACCAGGTTGTGATATTCTCCAAATCAGATTTAAAGAGTTGTAAAACAACAATCTTGACAATTGGTTTTATTGAGGTTGGGGGTATAGGTGGGAGAAGAAAACAGTACAAAAAGGCACCACACTGTGGTCCTAGTGTGACCTTGCTTGCCTATGAGGACTGGCCTTTCGTTCCAGCACTGCTTTTCTCAAACCCTAAAAAACAGGCTATGCCTTGGTTTTCAGGTTTTCAGCCTGAGCTGTTTGCTCCTGTGAGACCTCAAATTTATTTCACCTGTGTGTCTGGTGGGAAGGTGCTGATCTTCAATCACCCTTACGGCCCTGCTTACTTCAAACTCAGCATGTGGTAAAGAGAGCATGGCCTCCAGGGAATATTCTCCCACCGGCTCCTTCCTCTCCCTGCAACTTGCACATCCTGGGTGGCCTCTCCCCACTTTTGTTTGCCGGTTTTAAAAAGTTGAGGCCATAGAGACTGTGGAACATGAAGCACAGGCTTTTTCTGGAGGCCCTGTCTTGGTGTCCCAGGTTCTCACTTGCTACATTGCTCTGAGCCCTTGGGAAGGCTGAGGGAGGATGAGATGATGATACTCTAGGAAGGAGGAAGACACCCTCAGGATTAATAATAATCGATCATAGCAGCCATGATGGCTGTACCAGACACTGTGAGATGCACTTTCCTATATTATCACAGAAGTCTTCATAAGCCTCTATTTCATGGATGAGGAAAGTGAGGCACAAAGTGATCAAGATCACACAGCTGAAAGCACTCTCCTGAGCCACCTGGATGTGAACTAAGTCTGTCTCATTCCAAGGACATCACTCTCCCTACCACCTCCAGTTCCTCTCAGGCTATGCAGCTCATCAGCAGAGGACTTAGTGTGCAGCTGTTATTAGATCAGTGACTTTCAGTCTTGGCTTCACATTATATCCACTTGGGGAGTTTTTAAAAACCCCGTTGACTCCATTGAGAAGCAAGGTTGAGAACTACTTATCATATACACACACATAACCCTAGAATACAAAGTTGGTATCATCTTAAAAGCTAATGTTAACCTCATTCTTAAACTTTAAGATTACACCTTGGGTAATCTCATGACCACTTTGAGCATCTTATTTACAAATTTATTTTCATGTCAAGCTAACAGGCATGGTAACTAAACAAAAACACAGAACATAGCTTCATTGGGCTTGGGAATTCTAGTTGCTGCCATACATGCCCATGTGTGATAGGGAGTCATAATTCTGAAGAGTTAGAAAACGCAGGTTCAAGTTTCAACCCTTTTACTAGATAGGAAAAACCAAACTGCTTTTCTTTGTGCTCATACTCAACACACAACTCTTCTGACATCAAATGTTGGGGGCAGTGGGTTCCCACACTAGCCAATTCTCCAACTTCCAGACACCAACTGGGTGTTCTACAATTTAACTCAATTTTTATACTGTCTACCTGGCAATAGCATGAGATCCCATAAGTTAAGAGCTCAGCCCCACAAGACTGCTCCCACTTTAGATGCCAGTCACAAGTCCAGGTTGCCACCTATGCTTTTGACTGAGTGGCAGTAAATCAGAGGTTCCCACAACCCCTTCCTCGGGTTTAATAATTTGCTTGAACAGCTTACAGAATTCAGGAAAACCATATGCTTAGTAGCTTACTGCTTTATTAGAAAAGAATACAACTCAGGAACAGCCAGAAAGAAGACGTGCCTAGGGCAAGGTATATGGGAGGGGCACAGAGCTTCCATGCCCTTTCTGGGCATCCCACCCTCCTAGCACTGTTATGTGTTCAGCAATCCAGAGGCTCTCTGAACCCTATCATTCTGGGTTTTGATGGAGGCTTCATTACATAGGCATGCTTGGTTAAATCACTGGCCATTAGCAATGAACTCAACTTCTAACCCCTCTCCTCCTCTCCCCAGAGGTCAGGGGTTCCGGCTGAAAGTTCCAGCCCTCTAATCACTTGGTTGGTTCCCCTGGCAACCAGCCCCCATCTGGAGGCTTTCCAGGAGCCCCCAGCCACCATCATCTCATTAGCATACAAAAAGAAGCTGTGTGCCAAGAAACCAGGCAGAGACCAAATATATATTTCTTATTATGTCACAACCACTTAACCACCTTTGTGATCTTGACCTTGAAATGTCTCGTGAAACAAAGAAGCCAGCGTGATTTTTGAACAGAAGAATGACATGCTGGGGGTGGAGGAGATCCTTTCCCAAATACTGGAAAGCTAGAGACAAAGATGTTTTCAGGGAAGTCAGGGTATTAATAATGCCACCCTTATCCACACATTCCAACCTCCATGAAGTTGAAGCTATGGAGTACAATCTAATGCTGATTCTGTCTTAAGCATCAGGAGAGCCTTCTTTGTAAGAATTCCTTAAATAGAAGCATATGCAGTATACTACTGGTCTTCCAAAATGGAGATTTAAGTTCAAGCCTGCAAGAGCAGTGGCAGAGCAAGAATCCAGTGTGACTTCATATTACCATAAACGTCTTATCCATCAGGGAAATGAATGCCAGGAGGGGCCCCATGACAAGGACTGCTGTATCTGCCTTTGCCTGTGTGGTCACACGTCTCTGACCCAATAAATTAGGATCTTACTCTAACTTGAAGTGGGTGTATGGTCTGTCTCAACTCTATATCACCTGTATGCTTGTAGACTGGCAAAGAAAGTCCTGGATTTGAGATTTTAGTTGGGGGAAAGAAAGGTGGTACAAGTGGGAGGAAGTAATCACTTCTTAAACTTACACACATAGAGGTGGTTTAGGAGCCTGCCAAGAACCTTTTTATCTTCCCCAATCTTTGTTCAGGCTCTCCCTTTCAGAAAACGAACAGTGTGTCTTGCCGACGATTCAATTTAATCATACAGCCTATTTGCCCAAGCTTTGCTTTATAAGCACCAGGCAGGCACATGGTCTCTTCCAAACTTTGTTTCTTGACATTCTGGAGAAGCATTAGTTTGCTTGTGTCCATTGATTTGCTTGTGTCCTTTAAGCTTGCTTAGCAATAAGGCTGCAGGAGGCAGGGTGAGCAGCATGGACTTTCACAGGTGGCTCTTGCTTCTCCCTGCTGTGTTTATTCCACCTCTGCTTCAGCTCATTTTAGACTCCTATTTCTCTATTAAGCCTTGACGTCAGTTTTTATGTTATAAAACTTATGTCTGTGCCTGTTCTGTTATAAACCACCTTGAAGCCTTTTTGAAAAAATGAAAGACATACATCACAGACCAACATTGTCATCTCAGACCTCCATGTCTGTGGTGAGAGCACGATATACACCACATCAGGGGTCTGCTGGTAAAGCTCTCAGCTGGGGATGTTGCCTGGCTGGGGCACATCTGGAGATTCAGATCATGTGGAGCCACCCAAGAGACCTGGCCAGGCATCTGAGACTCTAGCCACATTACAGGGGCACAGAATGGTGAGCTGACATCTAGAACATTGAATCGCTCAGCCCCATCTCCACGGGAGCTTTGCAGGGAAGCTTGTTTGCTACAGTGAGTTGTACAGAACAGAAGTATTGGCATTTTTATATTGGATTCTTGCAGCACCTCTGTGAATTAGCATAAGATAGAAAGAACAGAGGTTTGGAGTAAGACAGACCTTATCCTTGAGCAGGAGAAGGACACAAGGTCTGTGACAGAAGAGGTTGGCCATATAGCAGGGTACTTTTCCTGCCACCCCATCATGCACCCCCTCCCCCATTAAACAGAACCCAGCAAGCCCAGCTCAGAGAGGGGCATAAGGAGCCAGGCAGACTTTTTCACTGGTAGCAGAAGCTTGTCACATTCTACTTTAAATGTCATATAACCATTTTTTTTTCAAATGGATATAAATTCCTAATTTGGCTTTTTCCTTTACACATTCCTTTGGCATATGTACTAAGCACATGTTTAAAAAAAAAAAACTAGCTGTAGTTCACTTCTGATTTTCTTACTTTAAAATGATCGTCACTTCATACTCATGCATATTTCATTATGTAAACCGTAAGATCCTTTTTGAACTCATGGGAGGAAGGGTAGGCAAGTGTAAAGATACAGTTTTGTGGGTCATACCAAGTTCGCACCTACAAGAATTCCATAGTGAGACCTATTTCCACCCACGTGACTTCCAGTGCACAGATATTCAGCTGGGTGTATCTAAATGTCACTGCACAGCATTTGTGAATGGTTATAAAGAAGAAAAATGATACAACATGCTGCTTTGAGGCCATTGGTTTTTTCCTTTTTTTCTTTTTTGTTTTTACCTCCTAAAGTTCAAAATTAGAACTTTGTTTAATTAAATACACATCTTCATCTAGGCTTATGTTGTTAGAGAAACTCCTGTTTATCTTAATATCTCTGAAACCAGGATGTGTCTTATGGTCTCTGTGAGCCAGACTCATGACGTAGTTACCATTGCCTGTGATGGGTGAATATTGGTTGTAGTTGTTCACCTCATCATCTCTCCATTTGAGGCAAATGCATCATTGGTGCTATGTGTATTTAACTGCTGTTTTAAAAGCCTTCACAAAGATTTACTGTGATTTAGCATTGAAACAAAAAGTTGTTGTGTGTGCAGAAGGGCAAGCAGACCAGCAGGCCAGGAATTTGATATTCATGGAACAAATGTCATCATTGTGAGAATGGTCTCCATTCCATATTCCAAAGCAACAACCAAGTTCTACAACGGAACAAAGGAAAGAAGACACTCACGGAGCAGTTGAAACTAGGTATTTTGTTGCTGAGATGCTTGCAAAAAGATTGGCAGTTACACACTACTTACTATAACTGAAGGCAGCAGGGATGTATGATAAACTGGTTAGATAAGTCTAAAGGAGTTCTTTCAATAAGGATAGAATAAAGATTGTAAATGGAAGAAACCATTGTGACATAGTTTAATTGCTAGCTTTTTTCTTTCTAACTGGCACAAAAAAATAGTGTATTTCTTCTTACATTTGATGAAATATGGGACCTAAAAAAGAAGAACTAGGAAGTCCTACCCACAGCAATCAGTCAAGAGAAAGAAATATAGGGCATCCAAATTGGAAAACAGGAAATCAAACTGTCAGTGTTCTCCAATGATATGATCATATATATAGAACACCCTAAAGACTTATCCAAAAGGCTCCTAGATCTGTAAACAAATTCAGCAGAGTCTCAAGTTACAAAATCAATGTACACAAATCAGTAGTACTGCTATACACCAAAAACAACCAAGCTGAGAATCAAATCAAGAACTCGATCACTTTTACAACAGCTGAAAAAAAAAGAAAACCCTAGGAATATACTTAACCAAGGAGGTGAAAGATCTCTACAAGGAAAACTACAAAACACTGCTGAAAGAAATGACACATAACACAAACAAATGGATTCACATCCCATGCTCATAGATGGGAAGAATCAATATTGTGAAAATGACCAGACTGCCAAAAGCAATCTACAGATACAATGCAATTCCTGTCAAAATACCATTATAATTTTTCACAGAACTAGAAAAAACAATTCTAAAATTCATATGGAACCAAAAAAGAGCCCACATAATCAAAGCAATACTAAGCAAAAAGAACAGATCTGGAGACATCACATTACCAATCTTCAAATTATACTACAAAGCTACAGTTACCAAAACAGCATGGTACTTATATAAAAACAGGCACTTAGACCAATGGGACGGAATAGAGAACCCAGAAATAAAACCAAATACCTACAGCCAACTGATCTACAAACCATGCAAAAACATAAACTGGGGAAAAGACACCCTATTTAATAAATGGTGCTGGGAAAACTGGCAAGTCATATGTAGAAGAATGAAACTGAATCCCTATCCCTCGCCTTATACAAAAATCAACTCAAGATGGATCAGACTTAAATCTAAGACATGAAACTATAAAAATTCTAGAAGATAACGTTGGAAAATCTCTTCTGGACATTGGCCTAGGCAAAGAATTTATGACCAAGAACCCAAAAGCAAATGCAACAAAAACATAAATAAATAGGACCTAATTAAACTAAAAAGCTTCTACACAGTAAAATAGGCAGTGTAAACAGACAGTATTTGCAAACTGTGCATCCAACACAGGACTAGTATCCAGAATCTACAAGGAACTTAAATCAGCAAGACAAAACCAATCCCATCAAAAAGTGGGCAATGGACATAAAAAGACATTTCTCAAAAGAAGATATACAAATGGCCATTAAAAATGAAAAAAATGTTCAACATTACTAATCATCAGGGAAATGCTAATTAAAACCGCAGTGAGATGCCACCTTACTCCTGTAAGAATGGCCATAATTTAAAAGTCAAAAATCAATAGTCGTTGGCGTGGATGTGGTGAAAGAACACTGTTACACTGTTGGTGGAAATGTAAATTAGTAAAACCACTATGGAAAACAGTATGGAGATTCCTTAAAGAACTAAAAGTAGATCTATCATTCTATCCAGCAATCCCTCTACTGGGTATCTACCAAAGAATAAGAAGTCATTATATGAAAAAGATACGAGCACATGCATGTTTATAGCAGCACAATTCACAATTACAGAGATATGAAACCAACCTAAGTGCCCACCAACCAACGAATGGATAAAGAAAATGTGGTATACATACACTATGGAACACTACTCAGCCATAAAAAGAAACAAAATAATGTGATTTGCAGCAACTTGGATGGAGCTGGAGTCCATTATTCCAAGTGAAGTAACTTAGGAATGCAAAACCAAATACTGTATGGTATCACTTATAAGTGGCAGCTAAGCTATGATGATGCAGAGACATACAGAGTGATATAATGGACTTTGGGGACTCAGAGTGTAGGGGGACGTTGGGAGGCGGGTGAGGGATAAAAGACTACATACTGGGTACAGCATACACTGCTCGGGTGGCAGATGCACTAAAATCTCAGAATTCACCACTGTAGAACTCATCCATGTAACCAAAAACCACCTGTACCCCAAAAATACTGATTAAAAAATATAGCTTAATAATAGAAAATGAAAAACAAAGACAAGCTATAGTTTCTTCAGATAACTATTGTACCTGTTGCCCAGTTGTTACATGAAAAACTCATAAAATTTACTCCCAGAATCACATATGTCTACCACTTACCTGGCCACAAGCTCACTTGTCCTCAGATGGTTTTGACTTGGGCAACAAAAATTTCATGGCATCTTTGAAGAAGGAAGCTATTAAGGAGTCTATGGTCTTTTTTTTTTTTTTCCTTTTGAGATGAAGTCTTGCTCTGTCACCCAGGCTGGAGTGCAGTGGTACAGTCTCAACTCACTGCAACCTCTGCCTCCCAGGTTCAAGCAATCCTCCTGCCTTAGCCTCCCAAGTAGCTGGGATTACAAGCGCGAACCACTACGCCTGGCTAATTTTCGTATTTTTAGTAGAGACGGGGTTTCACCATGTTGGCCAGATTGGTCTCGAACTCCTGACCTCATGATCCACCCACCTTAGCCTCCCAAAGTCCTGGGATTACAGGTGTGAGTCACCGTGCCTGGCCAAGTCTATAGTCTTACAGATGGAGATGCTGAAGCCCAAGCCCAAAAGCCTCCATTATGTATTTATTCACATAGAGCATGAGAATGTGCTGCACGGATGCCTTCGTCCAGTGCTCCAGGTGGACTCTCTGGGCATAAAGGGGAATAGAGGGGAAGGAGAGGAAAAGAGGGTAGGGAAGTGGTTTCTCTTTGAGCAGTTATTCATTCTGCTCTTGGAAGTTTTTATTTTCTCCAGCCTCTGCTCCAGGACACCTTCCCTCCAATTCACTCTCTCCTGTCCCTTCTCCCCTAACCCACAGCTACTTCTTTTGCTTCTGTTCACTTCTCTCCTCCCTTCCCATCCCTCTTCTAAACTTTGTGGTGGCAGATTAGTTGGGGTGGAGAAGGATATGGGAGCATGTAGGGAGAAAGCAACACAAACAGGCCTTGGGGAAACACTTTGAAAACTTATTGGGAACCTTCCCCACCTCAACCCCTGCCATCTCTAGATCAGGAGTTGGCAAACTACAGCCTGCCATCTCTTCTTATAAATAATGTTATATTGAAACAGCCACACCCGTTCATTTACATCAGATCTGTGGTTTCACCCTACAGTGGCAAAATTGAGTACTGTAATTTTGGTCAGGACCATATCCATCAAGCCTATAATGTTTACTATCTGATCATTTACAGAAAGTAAAGTTGTTGACTCCCATAAGTGCCTCCCTGAGAGTATTCTACAGAATTCTCATTCTGCAAAATGTTAAATAGGTATTGCTGGCAAGAAAATTCTATAGTCAAATCATTTTGGAAACCCTGCTTTTTAATTCCAGGACTTCTTAGAGTTTTTAATAAGTTAATGTGCATTATGAATTTCTAAGAGGTTGCCATAGTTTGCAGCATTTTCCCAAGTTTATTTGGGAACCCTTTTCTTACAAGTACAGAGTGATGGGTAGAGCTCCTGAGAACACACTTTGGGAAATGGCTCTTTAACAATAGCCAAGATACATTGTTAAGTGAGAAAAACAAGGTGTGTCCAGGACACACTCATCTGTGTGAAAAGTAGGAGAGGGAAAATGTAGCTAAGTGTTTGCTTGTGACGTTTTAATTGTGTCTGGAAAGGTCCATGAGGAACTGGTAATGCTACTCACCTTCAGGCGGGTTAAAGCTGGGAGAGAGACATCACACAGTAGTTATTTTCTGCATCTTGACTCTTGCATTATGCCAATATACTTTATTACCTAAACAATCAATTAATCCATCTGTCAGTCAACATAATTAAATTTTTAAACCAAAAGGTAAAATAGTAAAGCACTTGGAAAACAGTTTGGCAGTTTTTAATCAAGTTCAATAGACACTTACCATGTGTCCCAGAGTTCCATCTCTAGGTATTTTCCCAAGATAAATGAAAACATGTGTCCTCACAAAGAACTTGTAAACAAGTGTTCATAGCAGCTTTATTCATAATAGCCCTAAACTGGAAACAATTCAGCTGTTTATCATCAGATGAATGAATATACGAATTGGTCATATCCCTGTAATGGAATACTACTCAACAGTTAAAAAAAAAAAAAAAAAAAAGCAAACCACTGATACCTGCAGCAAATGGATAAATTTCGCAGATGTTAGGCTTGGTGAAAGCCAGACACAAAAGATTCTATTTAATTTCATTTTTGTAAAAATCTAGAACACACAAAAGAAACCTACAGTGATAGAAAGCAGATCATTTGCTTGGAGTGAGGGTTGGGGAGGAGATTTAACTGTAAAGGGACACAAGGGAACTTTATGGAGAGACAGAAGTGTTCTGTGTCTTGATTATAGTAGTGGCTACACAAGCGTATACTTTTGCCAAAACTCGCCAATCTGTGCACTTAAAATGGTGAATTTTATTGTATGTAAATCATACCTCAATAAAGTTAATTTTAAAAAGAAAAGAAATGTCTCTTAAAAGGGAACAATGAAGGAGTAAGGGATATTCAATAATTTTAAAATGGGGTCAAGCAGCCCTACAGTTGATTGCAGAAGGTTACTGTCACCCTCTAGGCATCCATTCTCTGGAACTCCCAGAGAAATACAAATGAGCAGCCCGTAACTGCATTTGTTCTTTGTCCAAGCCAGCTGAGGGATCTGGTCTGAAAACTAGTTCTGCAGAAGCAAAGCTGCTTCACCTGATTGAAGGTTCCCACTCACCATGAGTGAGGCTGGTGACCTTTCTCCCACTTTTTGTGCGCTGTCTCTGATGATAGTCCCTCTGTTTTCTGGAACCTTGCCAATTCCAAGTGTAGCCCCAAAGTCATTTTGGGTGTACCACCTGGTGAAAATGTAAGCAGCACATCAGACCTCACTGCAGCCTTGAAAGATTATCCCCAGTGGGCTATCTCCAGTTTACAAACCAACTGGACTTCAAGGTAAGAGACAGTGAAGAAGCTATTTGACTCTTAGAACACATTTCCTGATTAAAATACTATTATGAATGGTAAAAACAAACAAAAAAATATAGGCTGATCTCTAAAAGGCCACTAGAGTTCTAGGACATCACAGCCCTCATGTAACCTCAAGACCACCTGGATCCTTTGTTCCTATTCCCACTTCAAGATCGTGTCTCTTCATACTGGACATAGGAATCAACCTTACTTGCAGACCTTTAAGGATAAGTTGTCTTTCCTATGACACATTTTTAAACCTTGCAATCATTTCTGCTTATAGCTGTCTATCTAGAGTCATATGTAATCTAGCAGACATTTCTAGGCATTGCGACAGACCCACTAGGGATTGTAGCACATGCATTAGAGTGTGGCCAAGCCAGGTAAGGTGTGACTCAAAGAGCCTGCACTAAGAGCAAGACAGTCCTGGACTGTGGCTCAGCTCTGCTACATTCCAGCTGTGAAGTTTTAGGCAAATTACTTAATCCATTTGTATGTTTCCTCATCTGTAAGATAACTATGATCATAATACCTAGTTTAAAAGGTTATCATGTGGGTTTAATGAGGTAGCGGAGGAGTTCCATTTACTAATGCTGAGCAATAAAACCACCCCAAAAATTAGCATCTTAAAATAATGACACCATTCATTTTGTTTGAAAGTGTGCAATCTGGAAAATACTTAGTGGGGACAGCTTGTCTCGGCTTCCGTTGGCATCAGCTGGGCTGAAATCACCTGAAGATTTGCCCACTCACATGTCTGGCAGTTGCTGCTGGGAAGATTCACATAGCTGGAGGCTTGGACAGCTGGGACTCCTAAGCATCTCTCTCCATCTCGTGTGGTCTCTCAAGCATGGCAGCTTCAGGGTAGCCAGATTTATTACAAGTTATCTTTCATGACCTGGGCTTGGAACTCATGGAATAACTTCTGCATAGTCTCAAAAACCTGGCCATATGAAAGAGGAGGGAATGCAGACACCACTTCTCAGTAAATAGCAACATCACATTGTAAGAACCTATGGGATGAGATATTTTGGTACAGTCATGTTTGGAAAATATAACCTGGCATAGTAGAAAACTGCTTAACACCTGGAAAAAGTAGGACCAAATAAATGATATGTATTTGACCATTCCTATCACCACCCCCCCACCTCACTATCACTTCTATAATTAGCATTATTAGTGCTATTGCCAGTAAACCTGATGCACCTTTCAATACTGATGATGTGATGCTTGCCCTTCCTGCTGTGGGGAGATGAGGGTCACAGACCCAAGGATACTTCCAGGAAATGCTGTAACAGAAACTTTGCTGCAGGCCCAAAAGTTCCGCAACATAATTCGCTGTGCATGAAGATGATATCATTGTTATGAGCAAAGATGCCTGCAAATACACAAGCTGAAAATAAAAAGGAAACTGGTTGTGGGTGGGGTGAAAAAGGCTTTTGTAGAAAGATGAGTTTGTTCTGAACCTGCAGCCTCCTCCACAGTGATGATGTCCCATGGAGCCCCTTCTTTCCAGCCCTCCACTCCTACTCCCCCAGGGAAACAAATGTGGCCAGAGCTACCAAATCCTTTAATTCACAATGTGTCATACCCACACCATGGTGCAGGGGCTTCTTTGGACTCATGTCCCTCTCTATGACCCTACTGAAGACCAAGGGCAAATTTTGGGCTTTATCAGCTGTAACGCATTCATTTGGTAGGAGCCCAAAATAAAATAAAGGCTATAAATACGAAGTGCAAAATCATGGAGTTAGTGTAGAATCTTTTCCTAATAGGAAAGGAGCTCTGCAGCCACCTCTAATCCTCCCCTAGCTTATGGTGCTCTCAGGAAGCAGCTCTATTTAGAGGCTGATCCGCTTGTCACAAGCTGGCTCCTGAGCTCTTGCTGCTTCTCTCTTGCACTCTCTCTGAACCTGGGTTGTCCATCTGCCCCACATCCTGCTGGTGCTAGCACAATACAGGAAATAATAAACACACCTTTTGAGGTCACGCTTTACAAATGCAAATTATTTTCATTGAGGGCACACAGTTTAGATCCAATTTGTTCTTGGCTCTCTTTAGATTAAAAAGGTGCAGAGGGCAGGGGACCCAGCCGGGCCAGAGGGTGTTGTTTCCAGAAAAAGCAGCATCTAAAGGAGCCAAGCAGAATGGGATGGAGATGTGCTGTAGGCCACCTAACTACTTTTATGTCAAACTTACTACATGCGTGGACCATTTCTGTGTGGCCTTCCCTGCCCTGCCTTTTCTCCAATACTATTGTGATGAACAACTTGGTCTTCTCCTCTAACTGAATTGGTTAGTGATCCCTCTGTACTCCCTTAGGGAAGTACCTCTTACACTTTGGTCAGATCCGAATCACCTGGACACATAGCTTGCTGAGCCTTTCCCCAGTGTTTCTAATTCAGTCCATCTGGAACAGGGACCCAACAGTCTGTAGTTCCAACAAATTCCCAGGTGATACCGATGCTGGTTGTTCACTCTTAGAATAGTTTTTCTGGCAGTACATATACCTTTATGATGGTATTTCTTATGTTCTGCTTTTCATTATTTTTTTTTTTTTGAGACAGGATCTTGCTCTGTCATCCAAGCTGAAGTGCAGTAGCGTGATCACAGTTCACCGCAGCCTCCTGGGCTCAAGCGATCCTCCCACCTCAGCCACCTGAGTAACTGGGACGACAGGTGCGCACCACCACACCCAGCTAATTTTTTGCATTTTTTTAGAGACAGGGTTTTGCTATGTTGCCCAAGCTGGTTTTGAACTTGTGGGCTCAAGCAATCTGCCTACCTTGGCCTCCCAAAGTGCTGGGGTTATAAGCATAAGCAACTGCTCCCGGCCTGTTATTATTTTTATAGCAAAGACTTAGGTCAGTACTGTCCAATAGAAATATACAAGCCACATATATAATTTTAATTTGTATAGCAACCACATGAATTAAAGTGGAAAATTAATAATTAGCCCAATATATCAAAAATAATTCAACATGTAATCAATACAAAAATTAATGGAATATTCTACCTTGTTTCATACTAAGTCTTTGAAACTGCATATATATTAATATTTTATACTTAACGGTACACAACTACATTTAGAGTGCTTAATAGCCAAATGTGGCTAGTGTCTACCATATTGGGCAAGGCAGACTTAAATAATGCTTACTGTGTACCAGACAGTGGTACAGACTCCTTACATGTTAACTCCTTTAGTCTTCACAATAATCCAATGAGGTGGCTACTGTTATAATTCTCATTTTACTTGTGAGGAAACAGGCACAAAGAGCTTAAATAACTTGTCCCAGGCCACTGAGCTAGAAATTGGGAGAGAGAAGTTTGAACCTTGGCAGTCTGGCCTCAGGGTCAGCCACTTTACCACAAGCCTTTCCTGCTCAACTACAACTCCCTGAACAGTAGGAAGGAAACATTATTTCTTTGTGTGTCCCATAGCATAGGCAATGCTTAGCTCAGACAGGACAGCCAGTAAGTGTGTGCTGGATGAATTAAATGAGTGAGAAGAAGGTGAAGCACTGACAAGGGATTTGTCAAACATGTTCTTCCAACAGGATTAAGTGCCTCCAACCATCACTGTATATGACTGAGAGGAAATATTTTAAAATTAAATTTGAAATCGCCTAGTCATAATGAGCTTCCAGGATAATGGAAGGATGTGAGAAAATACATAATGACAAGAATAAAAGGCTTATATACCATCTATTAGAGTGGCAGTCATGATTAGAGTGACCAGAACCTGGAAGGAGTACATGAAGGAAGCCTACCTGAAAGGGGTAAATCCTTAAAGGGATGTTAAATTGGATGAAAGGAATACTGTGGAGAAAGACATGGGAAAGGATTGACAAGAAGGAAGAATTGTCTCCCTCATCATGAACATTAATTGAAATATCATCTGTGGCAGACCTGGTTCCCAGGAAGCAGATTAGGACCTGGAAATCTGCATACAGGAGGTTTTCCAGAAGTACTGCCAGAATCAACACCTTCAGGAAAGTAAGAGAAGCCGGATCAGGCAGGGGGGGAAGTTGGGCTGCAACACAGTCACGCCAAGTCCTTACCCAACCCTACGGAGAACTCCAGAGCTGGGATGGCTCTTCATAGTCTTCCCAAATTGAAGCAAGGCAGCTCTTTTAAGGCAGCTCCATTCCTTTTACAGGAACCAGTCATTGGATACTGGTTTCCCAGGAAAGGCGTGTAACCTTGAGCAAGGCAGCTTTCTTAATCTGAGGGCAATAGCTGAAGAGAAGTTCAGCTGTGTGCTATTATCTGGCATCCCTCCTAGCAGCTCCGGAATGAGAACCTCATTGTTGTGGGTTGGGGAAGGAATCTGGGTAGTGGACTACAGCATCCACTACATCAACCCGATGCAAAATCTAAAAGAACCAAAAAGAGGACATCATGATAAATGGAAAGAGCTAGACAGAATCCCAACCCTGCCAGCTTATATGGGAAATAGATGCAAGGCCATAAAGCTAGTGAGTAGATTTATACCTAGTTTTCTGTAATTCTGGCATTTATTTTCTCTCCATAACTCCTCAGGAAAGAGAAAAGGGAGGGCACAGGAAATACACATAGGGTGGTATTTATATTTATGCGTACCTGGGTTTGTTAAGAGCTATGGTTGGGGTGAGGGAGGATCAGCTAAGCAAATCTCAGAGGCAAGGAGCCACTTTCTCTTACTCCCGCTCTCTAGGACATAGGGGCAGCTACCCTTCTGTTACTGAGGAAGGTGTTTCTACAAGAGACAACATCCCCAAGTTGGGTTGTGGTGCTCTGTCTCCCCACTTCCAAGCTTAGCCTGGAGATAAGAGCCTTTCAGGGGATGCACTTAAGCTTTCATCTTGGTCTTATTTTCTTGGGCTCAACTCAGAGTCAGGGTTTGAACTATATCCCCGGCTGGAATGGGGGCCAGACCAAAATGGAACAGCCCTAGAGAGCCTGCCTCTCCAGGGTCATCTGTTTGTCATCTCCAAGGTCTGGTGAAGCTAGGAGCCCTTTAATCAGGTGATGAGCTCACCAGGAGCAGAAGTAATCAGGAATAACTACTAAAGAAGTTTGCAGCTGGCAGAGTCTGCAGCTGAGAATAGAAAGAGGGAGACAGAGAAGTGGGGGAGTATGAAAAAAACAGTAATAGACTTAGTTGTGCATCTTGGCTCCACCTTGAATGTGTGACCTTGGATAAATCTTTTAACCTCTCTGAACTTTAGTTTTAGGGAATGAAACACACCTTACAAAAGCTGCTTAAGTATCAAATCAGTTTTTGGGAGTAAAGTTATTTGCAGATGTGGTAGGTGCTTAATAAATGTGTGTTCCTCTTCTGAGCATAACACAGGGTAAAGTGTTTATGCCTATGGATAAACTTTACAAAATTTGCCAGAATTTTCCCTACCAGTATGCATCTTATTGCCCATGGTGGGGAATGAGATAGTAGCAGCTGAGATCCATGGCTAAGATCAGGATACTAGTTTATCTGGGATACACAAAGCCACACTCAGCCCTCAATAAATGTTTGTTGAATATGTACATGAGGACATGAACAAATGGTGGAGTGGTGATAAGAGAACTCAGCTTTCCCTTCTTCCAGGAAGCCTTCCCAGGTTCCTCCAGCTTTCTTGGGTTCCGTGACAAGCTTCTACATGTGCAATATGCTCCACCCAATGTGCTTCTGAATTATAGGCCATCTTCCATTGTTCTCTCCTTGTTCTTTGTATGTTGAGCTTGTCTCCTTGGCTTGACATGGACAAATGGTGTTATTAGTTTTTCTACCAGAAAGCCACAGTGAATCATTCAGGTATGCAGATCCACAGATTTGTAGCCCAAAAGAGAATAATTAAAAGGTGGAGGGTGAGTACCCTTATAATCACATAGGACATGGGTTAAGATTTGTCCTTTTCTACCTCATAGGGTTTTGTGAAGATTAAGATGATACAGGGAAATTGATTAGTACAGTGTTGTCATGCTGGACCCTTGTTGACTTCAGTAGTGATGGTACCATGTTCAACAGGCTGAAAAAGAGACCTGCAGCCAGCAAATGAGACATCAGGTTTATTGAGGGGACTCACATACAGAGGAGTCCAGTGGTGATGAGCTGGATAGAACTGCATCTGCTGGTAAAAAGCATGCAGTTGATATAGCATTTTCACTTAGCGCCCTCCCCCTAACAACCTCCACCTGTCAACTTTCATTTAACCCAAAACAAAGGGCTTCAGTCCCCTGTACAGCCTGCATTCCATGAAATGGGCCAGAGGTTTAGATGTTTCCCATAAGTAAGGAATGAATCTCCAGATCGGCCACTTCCAGATTTCTTAGCTTGGAATTCCAAGCACACATTCTTCTTAGACCATAGTGTCATTCTCAGGATAGGCTTAAGGTAAGCCATTGCTGTCAGGTGCAGCCATACAAGTGCCTAGCACATAGTAGACACTCAATAAATAGAAATTTAACATTAATGATGGTATCAGTATTGATATTGGGGAGGGTGGTAGATAGTGGAGGAGGGAAAAGGAGAAGAAAGCTTTTTAATTCCCAAGCACGCACAGCCTGGAGGGCTGAGTTTCAGAATTCAGTTGCAAAATTCAGCTTATGCCCAAAACTCAAATTACACCTTGGGGTATGGCATCCTGCCTTGAAATGGGAAATTAGGCAGTCTCACAAGGATGCACAGCTGTGTTGCCTGAGCTGTTTCGTTCCAGGCAAACTGGAGCCGGCAGTGAACCTTTGGCAACTGAGGAGAGCAGGGCCAGACAGCTTTGCAGCCATCCAACAGAACCAAGTGAGAATACCAAGCAGCTTTGCACAGTGCTCCAGGAGAAGCCACAGGGTCTCAGGAGCAGGCAGGCTGTGTGCCAGAGGGAGCAGACCCCCTCCTTAGACATCAGCCCTTCCTCAGGTAGGCCTGCCCATCCCCTCTTCCTGGACACTTGGCCACTGTCTCTGCTAACCACTAGCCGCTGCCTCTTCTCCTTCCTCCTCAACAAGTTCTTTTGTGAGGGGAGAGAAAGTGCTGAGAGATGTCAGCATGCCTGGGAGGATGTCAGGTCAAAAGCCCCAATGTTCTTTTTAGGTAAGTGATTCTCAGGCATGATCAGGCCAGGACATTGTGTCTTTTTCCTTTTCTGGCTTTGGAGAATTTGAAGCTAAGGGTACACAGATGCTGGTGTGCTCAAGTCAGGTACTTTAGGCAGGTCCCAGGACTCTCCAAGAGGTTCCCTAGGAGTCCCAAAGGTCCTGTTATGCTCTCTGACGAGTGCACTGGACCAGACCCCAAGCCATGGGCTGCAAGCTCTGGGGATTCAGTGCACTGGGTTTATAGGAGCCACCACTGCAGGCCTGTCCCTTGCATCTCTAGGGTGTGCCTAGGTCCTTCATGAGGCTGTTCTATTAGCTGCCCCCCTAACAAAAACTCCTATTTGTCCTATTTCCTGCTGCTGTCATCACAGCCTTCCAAAAGCATAAACCTTGAACCAGAAAGCAAAAGCTGAGACTTGTCTCTGTAAAATCCAAATCTTGGCAGACACTCTCACACCATCCTTTAGAACTCTGGAGAGAAATGCAGGCCAGTTTGCCTAGGTAATTAGGAATGGAGCTTACCATGGCGGGAGCAATTGTGGAATGAGAGGGTCTCTGCAGCAGATCAACAGGAGTTAGGTTCCAGCTCAGCTTTCTCCTGCCTCACTCTGGCCTGTGGGATGTGTGTGCATTTGATGCAGTTAATGTTAATCACAGAAGCAAGCAAAGTAAAAAGATAAATACATGCACTCACACACACACACACACCCTGAATTGGCATGTCACAGGACTGATGTTGTTTACTGCTTGCTTTCATTGACATTGTCTCCAAAGAAATAAACATCTATGATTTTGTGGTAAGCATTCAGCTGCAAATAACTCAAATGTGTGGAATTATTCTTTCATTCTCACATGGTTTCAAAAGTATTATTGTGCTCTTATGATGTATCAGATAGTGAACTAAGCTCTGAGGCTCCAGATGGCTCCGTTCAAGAACTCACAGCCCCATGGGAGGGTATAAGTTTAGTTTAGAAACTAAAATAAGAGTTATCACCTATTTAATGTGAGGCACTGTGTGGGGCTTTCCAAGCATCTTAATCGCATATTCCTACCCTAAAAGCACTCTGCACATAGGCATTATTTTCCTTCTCATACAGCTGAGAAAAACGAAGCTTAACTAATTTGCCTGAAGTCTACAACTAGAAAATTACAAAGCCAAGATTGAACGCAAATCCCACTGACCCCAAGCCCATGGCCCTCCCACTATGCCCTCTACCGAAGGTCTCTGCGGGGAAGAGTCACAATAGGAACAGGAACAGAGTGTCTGGGAGCACTGGGCAGGGAGCCACCATTTCTACCTGGGGAGTTGAGGGACCTTGACCTTGCCAAGACAAAGAGACAGTCAAGTTGGGTTTTGGAGATGAATACATCATCACCGAGCAGGAAGGGAGTATGGGCAGAAATTGTGAACGAGACTGGACGTATCCGTGTCCAGCATCGTATGTGGCTTCCACATTTAAGCAACAGGGTAATCTAGCCCCGTGGTACTGACAAATAAGCTTTGATTTTCATTCAGCCTGCTTGGTCAAGAAAGTAGTGGCTGTTTATATTACATGGGTGGTGTTTACCCTGACTCCGCAGTTGGAATTTGAACAGGTTAAAAACTGTATGTTCAGGTTGTTGTCTCTCTGACCATTTCACCTAACTCCATACTTTGAATTAGAATGTTTAAAAAGAATCAGGAAATATAGACAGATAAAGCAAGTCTTAGAATTTTCCCTCCTCTCTCTAAGTGGACTCCAAAGCACATCAGTAGGTAAATTTGATTAGAATCTATCAACTAGGCTAAAAGAGATCCAAGGATCCAGAAGCTGGCATTAAGGCAGGGAGCATCTCAGCAACCATACCCTTACTTTGCCACCTGCATGCCCGCATCTGTGGGTACATGATCTCACACCAGGGTGCTGGGAAAGATGCCTACAAGCCTCCCTTCAGTTATGTCCCCTTCTAGAGCCCACCCCACGGGGTAGCCTTCACATTGCATTGTCCCTGCTGTCTGCCATCCATGCACCATTTTAAAAATATATTTTTAAAATTTAGAAGTTTTAACTATACAGAAAAGTTGCAACAGTAGTGCAGAGTTCCTAGATGCCTTGTTTCTACTTTCCTCTGTGATTAGCATCTTATATTACTGTAGTGCATTTGTCACAGTTAGTAATATGGATACATTATTATTAACTGAAGTAGCACTTTGTTCAGACTCCCTTTTTTTTTTTTTTTTTGCCTAATGTCCTTTTTCTCTTCCAGGATGTCATCTGGGATACCACATTACATTTAGTCTTCATGTCCCCTTACACTCCCCTTGGCTGTGACAGCTGCTCAGACCTTCTTTGCTTCTGACCCTTTGCAGTTTTGAGTACTGGTCAGCTATTTTATAGACTATCCCTCAATTGGGATTTGTCTGATGTTTTTCTTATAACTATACTGGGATTATAGGTTTGGGAGGGGAAAACTACAGAGATAAAGCACCTCTTTCATATCAAGGGTACATATTGTCATCATGACATTATCACTGTGGATGCTGGCCTTGACCACCTGGCTGAGGTCGTGTCTCTCTGGTTCTCTACTGTAAAGCAGGGAACAGTTTTTATGAGCTTCTTCCTTTTAGTTTGGGAGGGTACAAGGCAGTCTGGACTGATGCATTTGTGTTCTTTCCCATGATGTCAGAGAGATGTTCCATGAATATTAATGATCTTTTTATTTTATCAGAGGCTGAGTTGACCTTTTCATCCATCTAATTTGACTCTCATTTTTGTTTATGTGAGGCAAGTCTTTGAGAGAACACTTTTCGTATGTGAGTTTATGCTCCTGTCACCGCAAATTGTATTTCCTTCTATACTATTAGCTCCTTAAAGGAAATGGCTATGTCCTCAATATGCAGACACCATATAACAGCCTCCAGCTTTATTCCGTCTGTTTCCCCAGCCCATAGTGTGTGTGTGTGTGTGTGTGTGTGTGTGTGTGTGTGTGTGTGTGTGTGTGCCAGGAAGCTTCATGGCCCTCCTAGTATGCATTTGTTCCTTATTTCCCTGAGGGAACCTGTGGCTGTTGATCAGAGAAATCATGATGCTGTAGAAAGAGCCTGGCATTGAGATGTTTCCCTTCTCTGAGTCTGGTCAGGAAAGGAGGACAGTAAGGAAACCCAAGTTAAAATCAGCCCGTTGAGCTCCAGCACTTAAAAGCCCTTGATGTCTCAATCCAGAGTGGTCACTGAAAGAGCTTTGATTTCACTTCTACATGGATGGTATTCCAGTTACTGCTGCTGCCTAACAAACCACTGCAAAACATAGTGGCTTAGATCAATAACAATCATTCATTTTGCTCATAAGTCTGTAGCTGGGGAGGAGTCACTTGTCTCTGCTCTCCCCAGACTCAGCTGCATGGGCTGAGTCTAAGTCAGCTTGATGGGCTGGAAGGTCCACTTTCAAGATAGCTCATTCACATGGCCAACAGGGTTGTATTGCTATCATCTGGAAGTTAGGCTGAGGCTGAAGGCCGTGAACCTCAGTTCCTTTCCACATGGGCCCCTCTCTGGGCTGCTCAGACTTCCTCGCAGCATGGCAGCTGGCTCCCAAGAGTAAGCACCACAAGAAAACCAAGAAGTAGCCATACCACCTTTTATGATCTGACCTTAGAAGTCAGGTAGCATCACTGCAGCCAGTCACAAACCCACAAAAAAAAAAAAAAAAAAAAAAAAAACCCACCCAGATTTAAAGGAAGGAACATAGACCTTACCTGTCAACAGGAGAGCCAAAGTCACATTTAGGAAGAGTAAGCACATTGGAATGTACTGTGGTGGTCATTTTTGGAAAACACCAGCTGCCACAGATGGCTAGTAAGTGATTTAGGAGGGTTTCTTATTCTTCAGCGAATATGTCTTGTAGCCTAGGTGCTAGACTAGATATGGGCATATAACATGGAATCAGACATGGTCCCAGCCCTGGCAGCTTCCACTTCAGACAGGGAAACAGACAAGACACTGGCCATTTCCATTCAGAGAGGTGAGAGCTGGAGTAGAGATAAGCTTATAGGTTATAAGCACACAAGGAGGGATTCCTAACAACAGTTTCAAGGCCCAGGAAGAATTCTCAGATGAGTTCTAGGTGAGAAATGTTTGTACCAAGTTGAATCAAATGACTAAGGCAAAAAAGCTAAAGCTGAAGATTAAAGGCAGCATAGTTGCCCCCAAGTGTTGCTGCATTTGGGGAAAGATTTGTTTTTTTGTCATGGTCATCACAGCTGTTACTATTATTATCTTCATCAAGCATTCCTCTACTCATGTAGGACATTTTCCTGGATCAAAAATTTCTCAGTTTCCAGGATTTCTTGGGCAGTCAGGATCAGAGAAACCTGGGTTTAAATCCTGGTACTGCTACATGGTGGTCATTTTGACCTCAGACAAATGACTTTAACCATATGTGAATGTGGAGATGATGGGGGACTTGAGCTGAAAATTTGTCATTCTTCCCTGTTTCTTACCCCTGGGAAAAGGCCTATGCTTACTCTGTGTGGGTGTGTGTTCACGTGTGTTTGTTCATATGTTTTTTAGGAGACCATGGTCTGTCAGCCCCCTAGAGCTTCAGCACAAGGTGAATTCATGTTGGCTGAAGGCCATAGGTGTGTCTGGGGCACACAAGCCCTGTCTCACATGACTTTCTTGCTGGAATGTATTCAAGAGATTGTACTCTGGGAAGCAGTTTCCCAAAGTACAAGTCATGGACCTCATCAGTCTAGCTGTTGAACCAGTAATCTCAGAGATGTCTGTAATCTACCAAACAATGGTCCCAGTTAGCTCTAAGCAGAACTTTCTGTCCTTCAGCCTTGTTATCTGAGGCATGTTCCCAGCAGGATTTTATAGTAGGGAACATTTTAAATGTGGCAACCTGTAGTGAGGGAAGCAGAAAAGATTTGCACTCAAAACTCCTTGGTTTCATAAAGAAGTGAAGTCACAGGCATGGATTGCCTCTTAAGATCAATCACCCAGCTCACCCTGAAGTCAGTGATACATATTTATTTTTGGTTAAGGGAAACCATGCTCCAAGGAATTAGAAGTTTATATTTGATCTTTAATAAAAGGAATCATTGGAGTTCAGAGATGGACCATACTAGAACACTGGAACCACAGTGAGTAGAAAAAGAACACTGGCCAGGCACAGTGGCTCACGCCTGTAATCCCAAAATTCTGAGAGGCCAAGGCAGGCAGATTGCTTGAACCCAGGAGGTGGAGACCAGCAACATGGCAAGACCCCATTTCAAAAATTAGCTGGGCACAGTGGCGTGTGCCTGTAGTCCCAGCTACTCGGGAGGCTGAGGTGGGAGGATCACTTGAGCCCAGGAAGTCAAGGCTGCAGTGAGCTGTGATCACGCCACTGCACTCTAGCCTGGGTCACAGAGTGAGACCTTGTCTCAAAAAAAAAAAAAAAAAGAAATTTAGATAGATAGATGATAGATAGATAGATAGATAGATAGATAGATAGATAGATAGATAGATAGATAGATAGATACAGTATGAGTTTGGCACCTTAATGGGATTGGCAGGCAATGAGTTGGCCTGAGTCCCTCCCTGTCCCTAACCCTGTGTGTAGCTGTGTGGCCAAGGTAAATCATTTCACTTTGTTGGGCCTCAGCTTTCTCATCTGTAAAGTGGAGGAGCTGATACCAGAGTCCCAACATCCCTTCCAATTAAAGAACAATAATCTTGAAATTAGAAAAGCCCATTTCCTGGCAAGGTTGTGTGCTGTTGCTCATGCAGAAAACAAACTCCCTGATGGTCAGACTTAGTGTGCTTAGATGCTCTTTTCTTTTGTTGTTGAAACATCAATTGCAGAAGCTAAATTCCCAAGTGTTCCAGTTACCTATTGATAATAGAAACCAAAACAGTGGCTTAAAGCAGTAACAATCATTTATTTTGTTCAAAAATCTTAGGGTTGACCAGGCTCAGCTAGGCAGCTCTCATCTGGGATCTCTTGGGTGATTGCAGTCCAGCAGTGGCCAGGGTCATCTTGCAGGCTCTTCACTTTCATGTCCGGTGCCTGGCTGGGGCTGGGACAGCTGGGTCTCCTCAGGCGTTCCTGTTACTCTCTGCAAGGTCTCTTTATGTGGCCACCTTGAGGGAACTGGAGTTCTTACGGGGGGCCAAAGCCCCCAAGAGAAACCTGTAAAAGCTGCATGAGCTTTTTGGCTGTAGCCTCAGAAGGGATGTAGGGTGTCACTTCTGCCTCATTGTATTCATCAAGGCAGTAACAAAGGCCTACCTAGGTTCAAAGGGAGGGGAAACAGACTCTACCTCTTGGTGGGAAGAATGTCAGAGAACTTGTAGACACAATTTAAAATCACACCAAGAGTCCAGGATGGTTCAGAAGACTTCTCAGACTGCTATGATTCGCTGTTAAAAGGGTTTAAAACAGCAATGCACAAAATATCTTGCAGTAGAAAACCTAGTTTAATGGGGAAGGAAGATCTACTTAGAAGAAACTTAAAATTATGAAAAAAAGATAAAATTCTATTTTTATGAATTTTCTGTGTAACAAATATGCCTTGTGTGTATATAAGCAATTTTAAGAGAAAGTGTGTATGTATATGTGTGTATATATAATTTTTGTTATATATATATATATATATATACACACACACACATATATAATTTTGTGGTTTTTATATACATAATTTTTATTCTACCAAACAATGGAGTGTATGAGATGTTAGGATTGGGGAAGAGGAGAGAATTAAATCAGGGGCTTCCAGTCCTTTTATTGTACTACTACAAGCTCCCCCGGTTACTTGCAAAATGAATTTAATTTACTGGGTTGTTAAAAGAACACCAAATATGTCATACAGAGCCCTGGAATAGAGATAGAAAAAAAACAAGACAGAAGAAAAGTCAAGAGACCAACAATAGAGAATCAGTTCTCCAAAGATGTGAATCATTGCTTTTGAATGGCAGAGCCCCCTGGGGAGATGGGTAGAGCAGAACAATAAATGAAAGTAGTCGAGAGCATAGACTCTGCAGCCAAGCTGCCTAGGAACAAATTGCAGCTTGCCATTCCCCAGCTATATGACCATGGGCAAGTTCCTGTACCTCTCTGTGCTTCTTTTCCTCAATTGCAACAGGGAGCTAATAATACTACCTGCTTCATGAGGTTGCTGTGAGAATTAAATATGTCAGTACAGGCTTAGCCCTTTGAGCAGTGTATAGTACATATTAGCCATTTCTCTTTTCATCAATTCCCTTGTTGCCTTTGCCAGATGCAAATGTCATGCCCAATATGGACTGCAGGCAGCCAACCAAATAAACAGAAGGAGGAGGACCTTTCCTTCCCTTGGGTCCTGAGCTCATGTATGCATTGGAATTTTCAGTAGGAGGAGACCTTCTTGTGATGTCTGGACACCCATCAATATGTAGATTCCACCCCACAACAATTGTCCATATTCAGACACGTTTTAAAAATCGGTTCCACATTTCAAGCATGTGAAGCTAGGTTTTAGCTTTAGTCTCTACTACATATTTGGAATTAAAGCCTCTAGAGTCCATTATGCAAATCCATGCAAATAATATGCAAAGAGGCAGTAGCCTCAGATTGTGGGGAGGGGGAGTGTGTAGTCCAGCACAAAGGGCCTTGAATGAAAATTTGCATGTGTTAGGGAAGCCCTGGGTTGAAGGCCTCAGATGTTTATTGTGACAGTGTGCATAGCATTCAGTTGTTAACCTTTTGTGCCAAAGAAGAGAGGTAAATGCTTGTCTGATTTCCATATTGAAGGTGACAGTAGAGGTTGGAGGTGGTATTTGGCTAGCACAACATTGTAGGGATTTTTATTATACAAATGAAAAGTTGCTTTGAAATAATGGCTGTGGTCCAGGCTGTGTCCCCAACCAGCAATGTGTTCTTGGACAAGTCACTTCCCTCCTTCTGTTGCCCACTCTGTGAAATGAGGGGATTGGATTAGGTGAAATGCCAGATCCCCTCTCACTGTAACATGTAAACATCATCCTCCAGGTAAAAATCCCTTGGCACCCACGGTGGCAGTATCCGTTCATTGTGCCAAAGATGATGTACTCTAAAGTCCAAAGAAGAAAGGGCTAAGAGGTAACTCTACAGTTCTAGAGAGAACAATAACTTCAGGGGATGCTGATAGCTGAGTGGGGGAAATAGGCAGCAGCAACAAAGACAAACATATTTACTTAGGCTGTGTATCTTACAGCACCAAGGATTCCAGTCAAAGGCTTCCCAGCTAGGAGGATGTTAGTTCCTGGAATGCCAGTGATGGGAAAGTCAGGGGAATTTTTTTCCCTGAGTGTTTTAAAGATCAGTCTGTATTAACCCCTCTCTCTGCCTCTGGAGTGCCGCAAAAGTTCTCCTAGAGGCCATGGTGGCTCCTCTCCCACCTGAGGGCCTGTCCCTGGGGTCAGCCAATGTTGCTTCCAAAAGACTGCTGTGTCCTTGGTCTCCGGTCTTTTATTGTATCTGACACATCTGGTGCCTGGCCCCAGAGATTCCCCGGGCCCTTAATTTTAACTCCAGCTGTTGCAGCAAACACCAGCTGGGTGCAGGCAGAACCTGACAGCCCTATGGCCCAGAACTTCTCTGATCCAGCTAATGGAGACCTGGCGTCAGTCAGGAAGTGCAGTGATGAGCATCCCAGGAGCAGCCCTTGATCAGTGAATATGGGAGCCTCTGGGTGAGTGTTCTTTTCAGGCAGACAATTTGAGGTGCAGCCTACTCAGCTCCACTGACGTCCCCTGTGAGTTTGAGGTGCCCACCTGGACCAGCTCATAACCTGCCCTCAGATTGGTTTTCCCTGTTTCACTAATCTCAGACCCCCACGGCTGACCCCACAGATCATTTTCCAGTATAAACTTCCTGCACAAAAGCCCTGTCTCTGTCTCTCCTTTTTCAGAGGATCTCTTAACATAAGGCATGTGTATTAGTTTGCTAGGGCTTCCATAACACAATACCACAGACAGAAATGTACTTCCTCACATTTGAGGAGGATGGAAGTCTAAATTCAAGGCGCCAATAGGGTTGGAGTCCCCCGAGTCCTCTCTCCTTGGCTTGCAGATGGCGTCCTCTAGCTGCCGTGTCCTCACATGATCATCCCTCTGTGCACACGTGCTCCAGATGTCTGTGTGTCCTAATCTCCTCTTCTTAAGAAGGACACCAGTCAGATCGAATTAGGGCCCACTCTTTTGGCCTCATTTTACTTTAATTACCTCTTTGAAAGCCCTATCTCCAAATATAGTCACATTCTAAGGTACTGGGAATTAGGGATTCAACATAGGGATTTTGGGGGTGCATAAGTCAGTCCTTAACAACACTTAACACTTGTGAGCTAAACAGACACTTGAAAGGGAATGTCCATCAAAACATGGAGGTCACCACCACTAGCCCTAGGAATAGATTGTCTCTCTGGTGTTAAGCTGTGGGCAGGATAGGGGCACCAGAATAACCCTGAGCAGGTCAGAGCATAACAGCACATTAATTCTTCTGGGATGCAACATACTGTCCTCTTCTTCCTCCTTCTGCATCATTGATAGTGGTTGACCAGGATAAGCATGCACTTTAAAGACAACCCTTGTTTCACATACTTCTGCTACTGTGTGACTTTCCACATGTTGCCTAATCTCCCCAAACCTCAATTTCATGCTCCACCAAGTGGTCATATGGATTAAAGCATGAAAGCCTGGGCCAGGGCAAGTGTTCAGTAAACAGGTTTTAGGATTGACTCGAATACACAGAATGTGCTGTCGGTGTGTGGTCTAGATCAGGGGTCCCCAACCACTGGGTCACAGACCAGTACCAGTCTGTGGCCTGTTAGGAACCAGGCTGCACCACAAGAGGTGGGAGGCCGGTGAGCCAGCATCACCACCGGAGCATCACCGCCAGAGCGTTACTGCCAGAGCTCTGCCTCCTGTCAGGTCAGCGGCACCATTAGATTCTCATAGGAGCACAAACCCTATTGTGAACTGCACATGCAAGGGATGGATCTGGTTGCGTGCTCCTGATGAGAATTGAATGCCTGCTGATCTGAGGTGGAAGAGTTTCATCCCAAAACCATACCCCCCCCGACCAACTCCAGTCCATGGAAAAACTGTCTTCCACAAAACCAAGTGGAAGACAATTTGTCCCTGGTGCCAAAAAGGTTGGGGACCGCTAGTCTAGATCATGAATGAAAGTTTAGAAAAAAATAGATTGTTTAGGGCAAATTTTTGGTCCTAGAGTTGGTGGGTGCTACAGCCTCAGTGCAATCTAAAGTCCCCCGCAGCCTCCCACTCCCCACCAATTTAGAAGTGCAGGGTGAGGACACAGGCCCATGCCCAGGCTCCACCACACACCAAACGGTGATCCTGGGCCTTGTGTCAAAGGCATGCCTGGAGATCTCCTCCCCATCTCTGCTTCTCGCCAGGGCCCTGCCTTCTCCATCAGACACCTGGGAATCACAGCTGGGGCCCCTGCTTTGGCCGTTTGTCCTGCTGGAATCTGATGGAGGAAAGACGCTCTGAGAGAGTAATTAGACGCAGACAGAGATCTCTCTCCATAGTCAGAGGAGCCTAGCAGGGGCTGAAGGAACTGCCTGAGGATGACAAAGAAGGGGATCCATGAACAAGGAGGTGCTAACAGGTCAGAATCAGGCCTCAGAGGACTGTTGGCCCTTCCTCAGCCGTAGAGACAGGCTCTTCCCAACCCATGTGTTGTCAACGGCTCCTACATGTCATGCTTGCATGAGGTACCATTTTTAAAAATAGGCACATGCTATTGTGATTGATAAAATCCACACATAACTAGAAATGTTTTTAAACATATACGTTTTTGTCCTTGTGCATTTTCTTGAACTGCAAGTATGCACATTGGCTATCATACAAAATCCTTTTTTTTTTTTTTTTTTTAATGTTCAAAAGGGCTCCTTCTACTCAAAAAGGCTGGATATCACCAATGACAATTTTTCAGAGTTCAGCCACATGAATGCCATAGGAAAAGCAGTTAATAACAACCATGACACCAGCCGGCATTTGTAGAAGGCACCTTCTGTTCCAGGCTGTGCTAAGTGCTTTTATGGGCTCCAGGTCTGGTTGCTCTTCTCTAGACCCCGGTCCTCTTCTGCCTGTCACTCTTCTATGGCACTGAGACATCTTTGTCTTATTTTAGGATTGTTTGTGGATATGTGCGAGCTTATCCAGGGCCAGAGACTGCCCTGTTCGTTTTTGTGTCCTCCAGGGTCAGGGAGAGGGTTGAACCTCCATAATTGTTTGGCGAATGGTCCTGAAGGGACAGAGGTCTGTTTGCTTGTACCTTTGTGTAGTTTATAAATGGAAGATTCAGAAAAGGGCATAAGAGTTGGTACATACTGCCACCCAGGCCTTCCTCATTTGGCTTGGGGTGGCTCACACAGAGTTCACACAGGCTTCCCCACAGGCAAGCTGTCCTTGACCACTCCTGGCTGCAGAGGAAGAGGCAGATGTGGAGGCCACAAGCCTTCTACACCTCCAGCCCCAGCCTGTTCTGAAAAGTTGCCCTTGTGGGGAGGGCTGATGGCGTTTCTGAGGCATGTGGGAAAGGAGGAGCCTGGCCAGGGTAGCTGCTCTGCTTCCCCTGGTGCTGGTCTCTCTTTCCAGCAGGTACCAGGCAGCACCTACCTAATAGACCTGCCCCAGCTCCACAGACAGTTCTGGTTCAGTGTAGGAGCACTAGTGTGGGCTCAGGAATGCTCCTGACGTTTCCTGAGTTCCCAGCACTGTCCTAGGCCACAGGTAAGAAAGGCCCAGGCTGTATGCTGCTCCCCAAGTATTTTACCTCTTCTCTCTGTCTCCTTTTCAAGGTTTCCTGCTGATCTTGGCACTGACCGAAGCGCTGGCATTTGCCATCCAGGAACCATCTCCCAGGGAATCTCTTCAGGTCCTCCCTTCAGGCACTCCCCCGGGAACCATGGTGACAGCACCCCACAGCTCTACCAGACATACTTCTGTGGTGATGCTGACCCCCAATCCCGATGGACCCCCCTCACAGGCTGCAGCTCCCATGGCAACACCGACACCCCGTGCAGAGGGGCACCCTCCTACGCACACCATCTCCACCATCGCTGCGACAGTAACCGCCCCCCATTCTGAAAGCTCCCTGTCCACAGGGCCCGCTCCAGCAGCCATGGCAACCACATCCTCCAAGCCAGAGGGCCGCCCTCGAGGGCAGGCTGCCCCCACCATCCTGCTGACAAAGCCACCGGGGGCCACCAGCCGCCCCACCACAGCGCCCCCCCGCACTACCACACGCAGGCCCCCCAGGCCCCCAGGCTCTTCCCGAAAAGGGGCTGGTAATTCATCACGCCCTGTCCCGCCTGCACCTGGTGGCCACTCCAGGAGTAAAGAAGGACAGCGAGGACGAAATCCAAGCTCCACACCTCTGGGGCAGAAGCGGCCCCTGGGGAAAATCTTTCAGATCTACAAGGGCAACTTCACAGGGTCTGTGGAACCGGAGCCCTCTACCCTCACCCCCAGGACCCCACTCTGGGGCTACTCCTCTTCACCACAGCCCCAGACAGTGGCTGCGACCACAGTGCCCAGCAATACCTCATGGGCACCCACCACCACCTCCCTGGGGCCTGCAAAGGACAAGCCAGGCCTTCGCAGAGCAGCCCAGGGGGGTGGTTCTACCTTCACCAGCCAAGGAGGGACACCAGATGCCACAGCAGCCTCAGGTGCC
Organism: Homo sapiens; assembly: GCF_000001405.40. NCBI lineage: Eukaryota > Metazoa > Chordata > Mammalia > Primates > Hominidae > Homo > Homo sapiens. Next base: position 133,380,630 of record NC_000003.12, read on the forward strand.
CCTGTCAGTCCACAAGCTGCCCCAGTGCCTTCTCAGCGCCCCCACCACGGTGACCCACAGGATGGCCCCAGCCATAGTGACTCTTGGCTTACTGTTACCCCTGGCACCAGCAGACCTCTGTCTACCAGCTCTGGGGTCTTCACGGCTGCCACGGGGCCCACCCCAGCTGCCTTCGATACCAGTGTCTCAGCCCCTTCCCAGGGGATTCCTCAGGGAGCATCCACAACCCCACAAGCTCCAACCCATCCCTCCAGGGTCTCAGAAAGCACTATTTCTGGAGCCAAGGAGGAGACTGTGGCCACCCTCACCATGACCGACCGGGTGCCCAGTCCTCTCTCCACAGTGGTATCCACAGCCACAGGCAATTTCCTCAACCGCCTGGTCCCCGCCGGGACCTGGAAGCCTGGGACAGCAGGGAACATCTCCCATGTGGCCGAGGGGGACAAACCGCAGCACAGAGCCACCATCTGCCTGAGCAAGATGGATATCGCCTGGGTGATCCTGGCCATCAGCGTGCCCATCTCCTCCTGCTGTAAGTGCCGCCCTCTCCCACCCATCCTCTCCCTCTACCACATCACTGGCTCAACCCCAGCATTCCTTTGTCCCTGATTTGGCATCCTTGCCAAGTGGGCTACAAAAATTCCCAGAATCTCAGGAAACTAGGTATCAGGACAGGTTATCCCTGACCCTAGTCCTCAGCTCTGCCTGGCCATGGCTTGAATGCCTGCTGATCATAAAGTCACAACTCCCAGGAGCTGGGGGAGGACCTTACAGGCAGTCTAATCCAACCCTGCATTTTGCAGAAAAAAAATGCCAAGCTAGCAGTGACATGGTTCACCCAGGATCCCAGAATTAGTGAGAGGCAGGGCTGGGCTGAGAGCTTGTAGCAGCTGTCTTCCAGCCCAGTGCCCTTGTCATGACACCACTCTGCCTCAAGGTAGCCTGCCAATGCCTCTAGCAACCTGGCACCAAGACACCGTAGGTCAATGTCGATGCTTCAAAATTTACAGCCTCCAACTAGCAAACCCCTCACCTTCCTCTTTATCTTCCATCCTCTTTCTTGTGTTTTCTCTCCTCCTGCCCCTCTTCTCTCCTTCTGTCTCTCTTCTCCTAAGAAAGAAAAAGAGATAAAGCTTTCATCTGGTGGGAAGTTCTATAGCTTTGGCAAAAACCTAGTTCTTGCAGCTAAATTAAGGCTTGAGAGTTACGTAAACTCTAGCAACTCTCCACCCCCACCCCACTTTATTTGTTCGTAGGTGATGTGAGCTGATTGCATTGTGGACCTTGTCCTTAGTTTTTGCCCTCCCAAGGCCACCAGCTTCTCCTTGCTGCTGCCTGGCACTCTGTGAATGAGGAGTCAGGAGGCATTCTCTCTGTATTCTCCATAAAGAATCTGGTACAACCTCTCAGAACTTTAGGGATTTCATTATGTCTTCCCTCATGTACTTGAGCTTTGATTCTTATGATTCTTAGAGTTTCTCTGATAGCCTTGCAGGAATCCTCAGCCACACCCCACCCCAAATGGTTACCATCTGCCACTCCCTTACCCCTTCCAGGGATGGCCACACTGCCCCACCCTCATATCCCCGCTCCTTGGACAGCCCATTCTCCTCTGACCCTCCAGGTTGTTGTCCAGCTCTCCTGGGGGCCTAAAGTTTGCCTTCTTGTGATTCCCACTCTATGGCCCTAAGCTGTGCCATCTGAAGCCATACAACTCTAGTTTGTCTAGCAACGTCTGAAACATTTGAAACAGCTCTGAAAGGCAGCCTTCTCTTCATCCAAGCTGCTCAGCCCCGGCCCTTCAAGTCTTCTTTGTAGGGCTGCATTGCCTGGGCCTGTCTCCCATCTGCCCCCTCTGGGGTAGCTTCTGCTTTGTCTCCCAAAAGGAAGCACAGCATTCCACCTGTGTCTGGCTACGGAAGAGGGAGCCGATGGTGGACTCTTTCTTTAGTAGCACTCAGGCAGCCAGCACTGGCATCAGCTCTGCTGGTTGTATTGGCTTCAGGTCATACATAGGCTTGCCCTGATCTCAAGAGGAACAAAGCCCCGAAGGCTTCCCTCAGGGAAGGCTGCTGAGCCAGGTCTCCCAGCTTTTCCTCCTGCTCTGGGTTGTTAGTGCAGGAGGTTTATGCCTTTAATGCGAACCATGATTTCCACTTGGCCTTGTGTTGCAAGATCTTTTTATATCCGGAGTCTAGATTCTTTTCAGGAGCCGCCTCTCATAGCTTTCGGTCTCCTTCAGGTTGATGAGCAAAGTAAACTTTCCATGTCAGGGCTGGGCAAACTGCTTCTGCTGAAGGACCCAATTCAAGAAAAGTAAAAGTGTTTGCAAGTTGCATATTTCATTCTTAATGAAAACAGCTTTATTGTCTCTCATGAAAACACACATTTACACATTTATTCTTAAAACTGCAGTTGCCCACTTCTAAAACAGAAGAATGATCATGAGAAAATGTAGCCCTATTAGCCAATGAATTCTTAATAATGGTTGGTCATATCTGAGAAGTAACTACAGTAGAGACAGCTTTCTAATTTTCCAATCTTTACATGTGTCTAGGATGCTCTCGTTTACAAAGTGCATTCCGTTATTTTTTTATCATTCCATCTTAGACCAGCCAGAGACATAAAAGCAGGAACAAGCAAACACACTGCTAAACACACAGGTGCCACAGTGACTCCAGCTGTCCTCCACACCTTACAGGTAGGGAGTGAGTCACCAGGTGAAGTGATTGACCCAAGGTCCTGACCACACAGTGAGTCAGCCTAGATCTGGTAATACAAAATCTGTTTGATTCAGTGCAGGATTTCCTGTGTGCCCATTGTGTGCCAGACACTGTGCCGAGCATTAGGGAATCTGAGATATGGGCCTCCCTCTTTGAGCTGGATAGCCTGCACCCCACAGGCTACACCCACCTGGATTTTGCAATTCTAAAAGAACTCCTACTTCTCCCCCAGCCCTTCTGTTATGTATAAGCTTGAAATTAGATCAGATCTTATTGCAAAGCTGGAAAGCCCATGGGCTGCCTAAACCATGCATAAAAATGTCAGCCAAGACAGGAGGAAGGACACAGCCTGGGACTGTCCCTTGAGGATTCTTCTGGCACCCTGAAAGGAGCCTTCAGGTGCTGGAGATGGAACATATTACTTTCTAAAGAAAGACACAAACTTTTAATAAAAGTGGACTCTGGTAGCCCCTTGGGAACCGCACACCCCACTCCCTTTGATGTCTGTCTTGCGTTTCCACTATACACAAGGAGGCTCTTGCCTTGGCCCTGACTGCCTCCACATCAGCTCCATGTCCTCAGTCATGGCCCCAACTCCTGCGGGACCATCGTTAACCCTGTGAAGGCTCCAGTGAGAGGGCCATTAAGGTGGAAGAATATTTGTCCAGCTTCAGAACCCTGTGCTCTCAGGAACTATCCTCATCTATTTGGACTGTTTTCATAGCCCAGCACCACTCTAGTTATCAGGAAAGCAGACCTCTTCCACGTCTAAGGGCCCCTTGTTTTGGACCTTCTCAGTGGCTTCATTTATCTTAAAGCTACTCTACAGACCTCAAAGAAGGGTTTCATCCTTTGCCAGTTTGCCAGATATTTCAGGCACTCTGAGTCAGGAGTAAAGTGCATGCATCAGTTTCCTCTCATCTGGCATTTCATACCAGCACTGGCCCCTACCTTGCTTCTCTGAAGCCACCAGAGTCAGAATTCAGATGGGCGGGGTGCTGGGCAGCGGTGATCCTCTGCTCCTGGTAGAAGTGGGAGTTGAGTAAGGCAGATCCCAGGCCTGTGCAAGGAGGGAGGGTGTCCGTTCACCTGCCCTCCCAGATTGCAAGCCACAACCAGTGCCTGGAGGCATATATGTGTCCCGGGGCTGAGAAATGCTTTTCTCTCCTGAGCCCTGCCAGACACTCTAAGCCACGCACGTTTTCAGAAGTGCTGAGAACTGAAATTGATTGGATTCAGGCCATAATGGGCTAGGGCAGAGGAGCCAGGTGGCTCCCAAGCTGGTCTCTGCTGCCACCATCAGGACGCACAGAGCCCACCACTCTTGCCAGAAGCCTCCACGCCTGGCGCTGAATTGGTCGGCGCTCACCATTGTCAGCGGTCTGAGTTTTCATGAGCGTGTCAGTTTTGTGGCTCTGTCAGGGTCCTTTGCCTGTTTGTCACATGTGATGTCCATTTTTGAAAATGCCTTCACCCATCCTCCCTGCAAGAAGATGGGGCTGTTTGGAGGGTGAGATTAGAAAAATAGACTAGCTGCAGATGTTTGTCATCACCAACTCAAGTTCACCCTGGCCAAAGTGGAGTAGCCCCTCTCTCTCTGACACTAGACACTTGAGGGCACCCTCTGCACCTGGTCCCCAGAGCAGTCTGGCCTCCTTCTAGACAGTGGAGCATTAGTGCAGCATTCAAAGAGGTCACATACCATTGTGCTGATGGTTGCTCAGTGAATATTAGACCTGAATGTATATGTGTGCCTTTTCACTCACAGGCCCTGAATGAGTTTATAATTATTATATAAGAAAACCCGGGTGAGAATGACTCTTGCCAATGAAAAGAGTAGAAGAGATTGGGATCAGAAGGCATTATGGCTGGGAAACATGTCTCCTTGGAGCTTACGGATCAAACAGGGATGGGAGAGCCTCAAGGCAATGCAGGGATATCCAGGGAATGTCCCCCAGCTGTTCCAGTGTTAGACCCATACCCTGACAGCTCTTCCCTGTGCATCCCAGCCAGCACCTCCAGGCAGCACTCAGTCCTCACTTCATGGCTTCTCCCCAAGAGGGCCGTGGGCTTCTACAGGCACATTCCCGCCTGCCAGGCTGGTGGGTCAGACACTAAGCCCCCCAGCCTGACCTCCCTCCATACCCTGAGGCCTCCCTGTGACCTCCTCCCTCAGCCTCCAAAGGAGGGAAATGGCTGTGCACAGCCCAGGTGCACCCCTCCCACTGGCACCCATGGGCGAATCCTTTCCCTCACTGGTCTCAGGTTTCTCATCGACAAAACAAAGGGGCCAAACTGAAATGTGTCATCACTCCCTGTCCTCACAGTTAAGCCTGCATAGATCATTAGAGAGGAAGCCTAGTATGCTTCTAAGACTTGGCTTGTGGAATCAAACATACCTGCACACAACCCCAGCTCTTAACATTTGTTGGCTGTAGGACTTACACAAGTAACTTCATCATTGATCCAGTGTCTGTCTGCAAAATGGGACTCCTGTCCACTGTGTTAGTTCCTTCGAGATGCAGGCACCAAGATGGGATTAGGCATATAAGAGAATTATTGGGGGAAACACCTGTAAAATGTTCAGGAAGGAACTGAAGTAGGCAGAGGAAGCCCCAGACTGCAGTGCAGGCCTGACCCCCATGAAAGGAGAGGGAGAAGGAAAGAGAATTCAGTAGGAAGAGTCTTAGACTACAGTGTTGTTCTAAGAAAGTTTCTGCCAGCCAGTGGGAGTCCTTAAGCCATTAGAGGGGTTCCATGTCCAGCAGGAACAGGCCTGCACTAGTACCCCTGTCATGGTCAATCATGGCTGACCAGGGCATTTTCATGGCTGCAACCTCGAAGACTTGTAAAATCAGAGATGATGCATGTTAGGTCTTATCTTAGCATCTGCCATGGAGAAGGTACTCAATAAATGGCAGTGATCAAACAGTGATGATTATTCATCTTATTGTTTTTAAGATTTGCAATGCCTGCTCAAACAGGCCCGGGAAAGAGCAATTCAATAGTTGTTTGAAAGGTTGAATCCTCAGGGGACCTGCAGGGTTTCATTTCCATTTCTCATCACACAGCAGATCCTATCACCTGAAAGCATGCCCTTCCACAAATGTGAATACAGTACTCAGGGCTCCATCTGAAAATGGAGTGACCCCTCTTCTTCCTGTCACACATCTGACAAGCCATGGATGACTCCCCAGTGACATTCCTGGGAACCCAAGAGAGCTTAATTCCCAACTCTGTTTTAAAACTCAAGGAAATTGGGACTCCATGACCTCCTCCAGAGTCTTGATGGCTACTGCCTCAGGAGAAACAGAGCAGTTGAAGCTTTTCAACTAAATGGGAAAGGGAACAGTTAACATCTTGTGTTTGCATAGAGCTGCGCAGTTTACAAAACGCTTCTGCATATGTCATCTCTATACCCTCCGGTGTTCAGGACAATACAGGATAGTGGATATCAACTTGAAGATCATCAAGACCTGGACTCAAGTTGCAGTAATTAGTTGGGTGATCAAGATCAATACTATTAGCTTCTATGACCTTCAGTTACCTGTTCTGAAAATGGGAAGAGCAATAGTGCCTTCCTCAGGCAGTTATCATGTGGGCTAAATAAGCTTCAAAGTGCCTGGGTCAGTGCTGGGAATATAGTAGAGACCCTGTAAGTCTGACTTGTACTTTTCTTTCTTGGATGAAAGGTGAGACCACTGAAATAGTGAATGTTCTAACCCCTAGGTGGAGCTTTGTCCTTGAGCCACCCAATAGTCATATAACACAGTTTTTCTTTCTAGATCTCTCTTGTAGAGGATGTTGGGAGAACAAGAAGAGAACTGTCATTAATTAAGCATCCATTGTGTGTCAGGCATTGTGTTTGGCATTTTGCATCCATGATCTCTTTAATTCTCATTACAAGCCTATGAAGTTCATCTTAAGTGACTTTCCAGGTGGAATACATGGCAGAGTCACAATTTGAACCTAGGTCTTTCTGTAGCCAGGCTGGCTTTCAGTAAGTAAATGAAATGGTGTTTGAGAAGCACTGGAAACTCCCTGAGAGAAATATAATCAGGCCAGGAGCATGAACATGTGAGGGGAAGACAGCGTGGAGCAGAACTTTCTGTTCTGACTCCCAGGCCTTCCCGCAGGGCAGGATCTCTGCATCTGGCATTCTAACAACATGGGCTGTTAGAGCACTGGACTCGGGGGCGGAGGACTTGGATTCTGCAACCTCTACCAGCCCAGGTTAGCAGCATGGCCTTGAGCAAGTTCACCTCTCTAGGTTTCCATGCCCCACCTTCTAGAATAAGAATGTAGGCTGGGGGAAGGGGCTGATTTGTTTCAGCACCTACTGTGCACCAGGGACAATTTGAAGTGCTGGCAGATGTATGACTGCATTTAATCTTCCCAAGGAAGCTGACGCTGAGAGAGGTTAAGTAACTTACTCAAGTCATGCAAGTAATAGATTGTCACCTAGATTCTAATTCTAAATTCGATGTCCCTTTTGCCCTATTGACTAGGCCTAAGATGGCATCTGTCACTTTGATTCTGTTTGCTTATAACTGCTCAGTAGATCAGAGGCACAAATATCTTTCTACCTTAGAGAGGCGTGCAAACTATACAAATCTGACTCACAGATACACTTTTCCCCTGCCAGCCTGTGTTCTGTGTCTATGGCAGTGTTTTGTGGGGCATGATGGGATGTGCCCCTACAGGCTGATAACTGAAGAGCTGTTCTGTTTGTCCTGATTGCTCCCCTCCCTCTAGCTCTAACTCTACCAAAACTGAGCTGGAGCTGAGGAAACAGCACTTTTCCCACTTCCCAGATGGTTCCCTCTTTATGGCTTCTGTCACACCAGCTAGAACTCCTCCAGGTGTTTCACCATGCCAGCTGCAGGAGCAGAGTGAAAGGTAGTGACAATGAAGAACAGAGACACCAGAGAAGGGGACAGGGGACCCGGGATCTTGTCCCAGCTCTGCCACTCACATACCTGTGACCTGTGGCAAGGCGGCCAGCACTTTAGGCCACAGTTTTTCCTCTAGAATAAGGAGGCGGCCTGAATTAGCAAGTTTCAGGCTGAGCACCACAGCCCCCTCCTTGCCCCTTTCCTCTTCAACCATCTGAAGAAAGGGTTTTTTGGAAGGAAGGGAGGGAAAGAGGAAAGAGATCCACAATATTTGAAAAGTTCTGTACCAGCTAATCTCTCAAATCCCCGTTAGCCCTAACACTCAGAAATTCCTTCTATGTTTTAAAGATTTTTTAAAAAGGATCTAGAAGACTGAAAAGCAAATTAGAAGTCTTTTTGATCAAAGCAGATAAGATAAAGTAGAAACTTACCCTATCTCCTAACCTTGTACAGAGACCTTTCCAGGTTGAGAGGCCAGCAAGGCTGGCAGCTGGAAAGAAAGCTACAGAATTCCCCAGGCAGCCTACAGGGCCCTGGGCTCTGGGCTGTGAGGTCTCAGCCTATACAGGTGCCAGCTTGTGCAACTGCCCCACACCCTGGCATGAACCCACCCCTGATGCTGGCCAGACCCTCAGGCTGCTGCGAACAGAGCTGGCCCTCTGCCAACCCCCGGTGCTGGCCTCTCTGGACAGCCCAGCCTGGGACCCCGACTCCCCAGCACAGAGATGGTTGGCACCACCAGGATGTCAGATGTGGCTCTTGGCTTCAGCTCTCCTCATCCCCAGAGGCTCTGGTGATGATGAACCTGGGGCAGGATATACTCAGTCCTCACTTCATGGCTTCTCCCCAAGAGGCCTCTGTCACCCTTGTCCTTGTGTTACCCTTCTGCAGTGTGAATCTGGACAGGCCACCCCACCTCTCTGACCTCAGAAGCCTTCCCTGCTCACAAGCCACTCAATTCACACATGGTTAATCAACAATATCGAGACATAATTCTTCCTCCTGGGCCCTGGGAGTCTCAGGGATGAACAGACAGGGTCACATGTCACACTGTGCTCAGTCAAGCTGTGTGGAGCCCACCTCAGGCCATCTGTGCAGGTGGGCTTTTGCATCAATCTAAGGCAGGAATCAGCTGGTAAGAGCATAGACTGGCCAGGTGCAGTGGCTCACACCTGTAATCAATCCCAGCACTTTAGGAGGCTGAGGCAGGCGGATTACCTGAGGTCAGGAGTTCGAGACCAGCCTAACCAACATGGCAAAACCCTGTCTCTACTAAAAATACAAAAATTAGCCAGACATGGTGGCAGGCACCTGTAATATCCCAGCTTCTTGGGAGGCTGAGGCAGGAGAATCGCTTGATCCCAGGAGGCAGAGGTTGCAGTGAGCCAAGATTGCGCCACTGCACTCCAGCCTGGGCAACGGAGCTAGACTCCATCAAAAAAAAAAAAAAAAAGAAAAAAAAAAACCATAGACTTTGGAGTCCAGATGTCTGGGTTTGCTTTTGGGCCTATCACTTTACCTCTCTGAGCTTCAGTTTTCCTATCTGTAAAATGGGGATCCTAACAGTACTGACTTTATGGGGCTAAATAGAGGATTAAATGAATATTTCTATGTCCTTGGAACCATGCCTGGGACGTAAGTCCTATATAACTATTAACACAGGATTTTTTGATGATGATGATGATGATGATAGTACCAGAAAAGCTATTTTATCAGCATTCAAGACTTCTGCCCCGTGATTTTGCTCTGTGAACTTCTGCTGTAAAGGTCTTCTGTGGAATTAAGGCTCACTTTGTACAGTTCACCATGCCCTGCCCCTTTTCCCACCATACACTTACTCCAGCTGGGAACTCTCCTCATCAGTTCGGTGGTGCAACCCAGGCACCATCCTTGCTGCCTCCCTCTCCTCTCTGACTTGCACTCTCTCCATAGCTGTCCTGCTGACGGTGTGCTGCATGAAGAGGAAGAAGAAGACCGCCAACCCGGAGAACAACCTGAGCTACTGGAACAACACCATCACCATGGACTACTTCAACAGGCATGCTGTGGAGCTGCCCAGGGAGATCCAGTCCCTTGAAACCTCTGAGGTAATGAGCTTGAAAGTGCTGGCCCCACTGCAGGGAAACCAGGTCCAAAGAGAGCCATGGGGCATCTGCTCATTTCTGAGTGCCTTGCTCCTTAACGTATGGCCCATGGACCAGCAGTATCAATAACACCCAAGAGGTTGTAGGCCCTACCCTGGTCCTACTGAGCCAGGATCTGTGTTTTAGCAAGAATCCCCAGGTGCTTTCTGCACAGTAAATTTTGGAAGCACTGTTCCTGGGACTTTTGGTTTCTGGGAACAAGTGAACAAATACTCAGTGAGGACCTGTTTTGTGCCGAGCACTCCCAGGGCACTATGAAGATGAGAGCTTGCTCCTAAGGGGCTCAGGTTCTGAGATGTGGCTGGAGGACAAACCCCAACATCACCCAAAAACAAAGCCAATTAGGGGAAACACAAACACAGACGAGTTATAGACAAAGAGCTGTGGAAACCCAAGGAGGAAAGCCTTCCCAGTGCAGATGCTAGGAAGGATTAATGGATTTCAACAGGCATTCCAGCAGAGGAGGTAGCCTGAGGAAAGGTGAGGATACGTGCTGGATCTGAAGGGAAAGAAGAATACACTGTCAGCATATTTGCCCAAGACACCTGGCTGGTCAGTGAGTGAGCTGAGCTTTGAACCCAGGACTTTAACCACAGAATCCATACTCTTTCCATCCTCACACGGAGGGTGGCGTAGAGGCCAGAGTGAAACAGTAAAGAAGGATAAAGGCCCAATTAGACACAGCCTTAATGGGGTATTATGGCATTGGGACTCTAGTTTGGGGCAGCAGAGAGTCACTGAAAGTTTTGATCTTTGGGTGACCCAGTTTTAGAAGGATTATGCTGATGGCCTGGTGAAAGCACCCTATATGTGATCAGCGAATGGATAAGGAAAGAAAATAATGGCTTGATGGATGAGTAAATAGATGGAATGACACAGAAAGACAGACTAAAAATAGGTAGCTCAACTAGGATGCAATTGAGATGGCCCAGGAGAAAGATAACAGACATCTGAGTAAGGCAGTGAGAGCTGAGAAGAGTTCTTGTGGAGGTGCAACCCCACCCCTCCTTCCCGTGTGGGTCCCTTCCCCAGAGCAGCCAAGGTGAGCTTTTGTAAACATAACTGTGGTCACATCGCTCACATGCTTAAAACCTTCTCATTTCTCTCCAGTTAAAGTTCAAAGTCTTGTATAGGACCTGCAAGGTAGACCTAGACCCAGGCCAACTTTCCAGCCTCACATCACACCCCTCTCCCCATCTTTTGCTAAGCTCCAGCCACACTGGATTTCTTTTTGTTCCTTCACAGCACCAGGTTACATCACACCCACTCCAGGTGTGTGCATGGGCTGTCGCCTCTCCTACAACATCTTCAGGCTCTCCCCAGCACCCCCTTCACTTGCTCACCTCAGTGACTCCAACCCATCCTGCTGCAGGGCCCAGTCTAAATGTCACTTCCTCAGCGAGGCCTTCCTTAACCTGCCAGGCTGGGTTCAGCTCTCCTGTCACGTGGTCTTAGCTCCCTGTGCTTTTTCATTGTGACCCTTTTTAGAGCTGTGATATGCTACTGGTCTGATATTAGTTTAGTACCCCTCTCCCCTACTTGAGTAACCAGTTGCTTCCACATCGCTAAACCCAGCAGCCAATTCCGAGCACTCATCCTACTCCATCTGTGCAGCACTGGCACTGTCACATGGCAGCAGAGGCCCTGCCTTCTCAGGCTCTCCCCCAGCTCCCATTACTGATTCCCTGTCCTTTCCCCAACCTCTATTCACTGGAGCGCCCCATCTCGGTCCTGCCACCACTTCTCTTCTTTTTTTTTTTTTTGGTTGTTGTTTTGTTTTTGTTTTTTGAGATGAAGTCTCAACTCCGTTGCCCAGACTGGAGTGCAGTGGTGTGATCTCAGCTCACTGCAGCCTCTGCCTCCCAGGTTCAAGTGATTCTCCTGCCTCAGCCTCCCAAGTAGCTGGGACTACAAGCACACGCGACCACGCCCGGCTAATTTTTGTGTTTTTAGTAGAGACAGGGTTTCGCTATGTTGGCCAGGCTGGTCTCGACCTCCTCACCTCAAGTGACCCGCCCACCTCAGCCTCCCAAAGTGCTGGGATTATAGGCGTGAGCCACTGCCCCCAGTCACTTCTATTCTCTTTCTACTTAGTCCCATGACTTAAATACCATCTCTGCACTAGAGAGTCCAGATTTCTACCTGTAACCTTAATGTCTCCCCTGGCCCCAGACTCACCTACCCAGCTACCTGCTGCACATGTCTAATAGGCACCTCAAACTCAACACACCCAAGATTGAACCCTTGATTTCGCCCTCCCAACCCCAAAACCCAAACCTCACATGCAGCTCCTGATTACGTAGATGGTACTGCCAGCTGCCTTTCCTTCCTGCACACCCCACTTCTAGTCTGTCAGAAAATTTCATTGGTTCTCCCTAAGGACCAGCACCTCTCATTGCCTGCACCTCTGCCCCTGATCCAAGCCAGTCTCCTCCCTCGCACCATGAGTGCTGCAATGGCCTCTAAATTAGGACTCCCCACTACCATCTTGCCTTCTGCAGTCTGCCCTCTGCACAAGAGCCAGATGATCTTTTCAAGGCAGGATCCCATGTCCGCCACAGCTTCCACTTTCAAGTGGCTCTTCTCTACATTTTGAATAAAATCCAGACTCCCATTCTCATGCCCTTCACAAGTTGGCCCCTGCCCACCACCTGAGCCCCCACCACACTTCCCATTGATCACACACCAGCTTCAGTGGCCTCTTTGCTCTTCCTCCTGCACAGGAAGCTTGCCCCCACCTTAGAGCTTCGTTCTTGCACCCTATCTGAAATGCTTTTCTCCTGGATACCTTGAACCCTCAATTCCTTCAGGTCTCTGTTCAAATGCCACCTCCTCTGGGAGGCCCTCCCTCCCTTACCACTCTGTATTAATTAAATCTCCAACCTCATTCTGTTTCCTCTTCCTTACTTTACTTGTCTTCAGAGCTCTTCTCACCACTTGACATTGCATCATTGTCTCTCTGTTGATTGGTTTGTGGTCTGGCTGTCCTGCTGCCTGAGGCAGGAGCATTGTTTGTTGTGCTCACTGCTCTATTCCCAGCACCTGGAGCAGTGCCTGGCACATGGTAGGTTCTTAGTAAATGTTTATCATGTGAATGAACTATAAATGTTGTTCACCACAATTTACCCATCACCCAGTCAGAGCCTAACACACAGTAAATGCCCAAGAAAAATTTTTAAGCAGAGGACAAACGAGGGGCCAGCTTCACTGCAGCATTGACCTTTAGTGTGGCCTGTACACATTTTGCATGGAAAAGGTGTTCCTGAGATCTGTTGTAGTAAGTGGAAAAAAATATGTAACTTGACAAAGGGGCTGGTCCTACTTTAGGTATGGGCTGTGAACCCCTGAACTTTAAATTTCTCATATTCTCTTTGCAAATTGGTAAATGAAAACCAAAGCCAAAGGACAATACTCGTGAACGCACTATAGAAAAGGCCCTTGCTTTTAGAACATCCCAGTTAGTCATTTGGCACAGAGCACGAGGGCTGCCGTCCAACACAATCCAGAGGCTCTGGTAGAAAGGGCTGCCCCAGCCAGTCGTGATCTTCAGACCAGGAGGGCGCCATAGGACCTGCAGCACAAAGCTCAGCTTGGCTTCAGAGTGGATTGGATTTTGCTGTTTCCCTCCCAGCAAGCCGTTCCTCTTGTTCTGCTTTATTTAGAGTAATATTACAATTTGTTCCAATTCTCTGGGCTCACACTATATGAGGGTAAATGCAGGCAGCCTAGGGCCAGGATGAAGCCAGCCAAGCACACACACACTGCTGACCATCTCTAGAGCAATCATAAGGTCCCAGTTCATATTCCACCATGTTCCACATCCTCAGGACATGTACTCACCACCTGCCCTTTAGCTGCTAACTTTGGAGACTGCCAAATGGTTTGCCTAAGCAAGTTCCTCAGTTGCCCTGCCCCCACTGCTGTGTTGATGCAAGCAGCAAAACACAGATCCAGGGCTGTACAGACAAAATTGTGATGCCCAACAAGTGCTTGGAAACTTCCATTCTTTTTTCTTTTTCCCACCTCCTCCTCCTCCTTCTCCCTGTTTTCTCTTCTTCCTTCTTTTCTCCCTCCTTCTCTCCTCCCTTCTTTTTTCTTCTCCTTTGCTTTGGTTGTTTCCTGAATAACTCTCTCTTTAATGCAGCAAAACATACCCACATGGTTTTGCCTTTGGTGAAGACTTGCTTTGTGAAAGCTATAAAATGACAAGCCAAGCTCAGCCTCCACAGTTAAACCCAAAAGCATGGTGGAGGAAAGGGATTTTTGTCTCCTCTTTGAAGTGCTCCACTATTTTCCTTAGATGGCTGGCCCCATATCCACCCTTAGATAGGTGTTGAACTAATTCCAGACACTGAAGGAAATTCTTGTCTTCTGAAAAGACATTTTATCAACAATGGCATTTCTTCCTTACCTTATGATTCATACAGCAGTAAGTACTCCTCAGAAAGTATCTGTTATGTATGTTTTGTTTAAAAATAAACTTCAGAGAATTAATTGTGGCTAAGCAAATCTGGCATGAGCCAGTATACCTAGGCCTATAGTTGAGTCTTTGTCCTGAAATGGCTTGAAGGTTCCAAGACATTAGCTGTTTTAATTGGAAGAAGCTATGACTTTCTTTTTTTCTCTCTCTTAATTAGTACCAGGGCCCAAATCCAAGTACAGCCATTTAGTAGCCCGTAAATGTTTGCTTGTCCTTGGTAAGTGAAACCAAAACCCTGCCAAAGCCATACAGATTACCTTCTGGGCAGTGGATGGCCTATTTCTAGGCTTTTCTGCTCCTGCAACTGAACATACAGACTGAAATTTTCATCTGTCACTTATTATGCAGTCACACAGAGATGCAGATCCATTCAGCTCAGCATCACTAGTGCTATAAGAAATGGGGCAATAATTCTGACCAGGCTCTGGAAGGACTCAGAGCGGGAAGGAATTGGCCCTTGAAGCCTCTTGACAGGTCTGTTAGATCCTGACAGGTGGGTAGCAGGAAACAGGCGAGTGAGTCTAGGTGTATTCAGGAAGGAAAAGCAGAGAAGTTTCCCAGAAGTCTGTGAGAAAGAGGCAGGAAGTAGTCTGGGTGCAAGTGGACTGAGTTTTGCCACTAGTGCAGTGAGCCATGCACTGTATGTGTGTCATGCATGGCAAGTCCCCTCAGACTTTGACAAGGAAAGCAGTACCATCTCTGGCAACCTGGGATTGGGGTGATTCCAGAAGCAGGGAACATTTTTTGAAAGCTGCTATAAAAATATGAAAGAACAGCACAAAAATTAAAATATACACATACACACACACACACAAATTAATTAAAAGAATGGCATAGAGGGCTGTGCACCTCAGCATTAGCAGTAGGGATGATGAAAATGTGCACCAAGCCATCAGTGCTGAAATAAATGTTCCCATGTGTACATTTCTTTAAGAATGGCCACCTCTTAAGCCTTCTCCAGCTCACTCCATCTCCTCCCTCTCTCTTCCCAGGACCAGCTCTCAGAGCCCCGCTCCCCAGCCAATGGCGACTATAGAGACACTGGGATGGTCCTTGTTAACCCCTTCTGTCAAGAAACACTGTTTGTGGGAAACGATCAAGTATCTGAGATCTAACTACAGCAGGCATCACTTTGCCATTCCGTATTTTTCGTCTCTAAATTATAAATATACAAATACATATATTATAAATATAACCTTTGTGTAACCCTGACTTAATGAGAAACATTTTCAGCTTTTTTTCCTATGAATTGTCAACATCTTTTTTACAAGTGTGGTTTAAAAAAAAAAAAAACTTTACAGAATGATCTGTGGCTTTATAAAATAAAGGTATTTCTAAGCAAAGCAGTTGCATTGATTGCTTCTCTTAATAACTATTCTTGAGCACCTGGGGATCCCAGGAACCCTGGTCAGGTGAGGTAAGAGACTGACCTCCTGTAGAAGCTGAATGTTACAGTGCAAGCGCACGATTCTTTGAGTGATTCTTAAAGCTCTGGTTCCTCTTGATTTGGTGTGACCCCATTTCCTCCCTTCTCATACGCACACCTGTAAAGGGAACTGGACCGCCTCAGGGGAAGACGGCAGACTCATGCACAGAGAAGGAAAAGGGAACATCTCATCACCTCTGAGGATGAGTACCCTGGAGCCTTATGACGGCACCATTGGATGTCATGTTTAATTCCATCCAAGTTGTGGATGGCAGGCAGGAGCATGGAGCCCTCAGGAATCCATGGAGGACATCAAGGCATCCCAAGGCCATATTCCCCTAACATTACTTCCACTGCTAACAACAGGACTGCCTTTCCCTGGTGGGAAAATGCTCCCTTTATGCCCATTCCTGTATCCCCTCCAACACCCACATCTGCATTAAACACCCGTGCCTTTCTCTTGGAGAGGGTTTAGATGCAGATCCCGGCCCTGGAGCTTTAAAATGCTTGCCCTTCCTTCTTCAAGGATCAAATGTTTATTGGGGTTCAGCTTTGTTTTCTCAAAAGGCCATGGTATCGTGCCCCTGAGGAACATGTTTATCTAAGAAGCTTTGAGGTAGTAGAGCGATAATTTTTGAAACCTTCCTCCTGCAATCTTTAAAAAAGAAAAAAAAGATTGCCCAAACAAATCATTTGGGAGAAGACATCATTATACTCCTACTTGGCACTGCAAACCTGCTCGCAGCACCAGCCGGTGGACTTGCCATCCAGCTCTCAGCTTCCACTGCTCCCCTTGTTCCCGGCCGGCTGGCTGCCTCCCCGTGCTGTGTCCAGCACGGCCAACAACGTCAGACCCTCAGAGACGCCCAAGGGGCTTCCAGAGGTGGCCGCTTCTCTATTTTTTCCTGATTGTGGCTGAGAGAGATGATTACTGCTTTGACACTTCCTTTCTCTAAAAGAAAAATAGTTTGATAGTATATTTTGAATATAGATGCTCTTATAGTCAGATTGGGAATTGAACTTGAATATTGGGTCATATGTTTGTGTTGTTGCTGTAGTCTATCATGACTTTTTTCTTTCTGCATTTTCCTTAAAAAAAAAAAAAAGATGGCCTTCAAAAGTGTGTTCTCAATGTTGTATGAACCTCCTTCACATGAGTTCGGTTGTTGTCTCTCTTCAAAGACTCTTCAACCCACAAAGAAGCAACTAAATGTTTCTCTAAGTTTAATTTTCTAGCGTGTTGTTGTCTTACCTTTTTAACCTTACCATAATATTTCTGTTAACTGTTACATTTAATATACCAATGTGTGTAAGTATACAGAGAAAAATCTGTTTGTAAAGTAAAATTTATATATAATATATGTAATCAAAGATACATATGTTATATATACATATGTGGATGTATGACTTATTTTTCCTTATCCACAGATTTCAGCTACCATGTATATATAAATAAACTTATTTTATTAGCCAGAGGATTCTGTTGCTAATACATTTTGCATTCTTTTCAAGATAAGCTCTAAGTCTTCCTTAAGCAGTACCAACACCACTTTATATCCATCTGTATTTTTTAATCTGATTTAACAGTAAGTTGAGTTTTATGTATGTGATGAGCTAATAGGATTAGCAGTTTATCATTTGATAAAATAAATCTTTTTGAACATGTTTGCAGTTTCTCCAAAACAGACTCATCTTTCATCAGGTCTTTGGAGACAGTGGTGTCAAAGTACATCCCCCCCTCTTTCTCCCTGTCTCCAGGGCTGAGTGGATTTATATAGTAAATATCTTTGGTCCGGAGAAGTCTGAAGTTAACCTGGCCATTGAGTGTTACCATTCTGTAGAGAATAACAATGCCTAAACATGACACATTTGTGCACAACTTAATCAGTAGCCTGAACTTTTCATTCAGCCTTGGACAATACATCTTGGAATTCACAATAATGCAGATCCTCAGAACCAAGTCAGTGTCATCCGTATAGGAGGCTGTTACTGTAACACAGGCTCGCATGCCCCTTCTGGGTGCATCAGGGGTGGTGTTCACAGCATTAATGCTACATCTGAATAAACAAGGACACTACTGGCCTTTACTTAATCCAATTGGTTCTTTCATCTGTTCATCAAATAGCCAACACTGATATTTATAAAATACCTCCCAGGCCATCTCAGAGAGACAAAGTGGAAGACAATAAAGAAAGGAAGGGTTGGAGTGTCCTGGTCAGTAGGAAGGAAGTGCACACAGGGTCCTCTAGTAGGCGACCAGGTTTTTTACCTCTACCTGCGTGACCTCAGGTAGGTACTCTGCTCTCTGGGTGGTGGGCAACAGGGAGGCTCCTAAGTAAGTCAGTGGCCCAGAGTTTGGAAGAGGTTGTCTGCCCCCAGCTCTGCTACTTTCTGGACATAGAACCTTGGGCAAGTCATTGCAGCTCTCGGGGTCCTCCTCACATAAGAGGACAGTGGCCAACTGTAGGACATGTCATTTTAGAGCTGTGAGGTACACAGCCCATATGGCAGTACCTGTCAACCCTGGACCTCCTTCCTCCTGAGGTTGAGTTGAGAATTCCACGAAATAAACCATAGGATTCATGCACACACCAGGCTGGATCTGCTACTCACTAGAGATTGACTCCCTTCTCCTTCTCTCACCTGAGGTACATTCCTACATTACAGCATCTGGAAAAGTATCCAGCTCTGGGGTTTGGTGACCTGGTTTCTCCAGGGTAAAACTTATGTACAGAGGTTTTTAGGTCCATGTTGTCATCCTGTAACTGGGGGAACCTTTCTGATCCTAGAGAAGTGATTGAGGTGTGACCCTTGGTGGCTTAGTGGATGCCAAGGTCAATAATTAAAACCCAGGGGTGTCATCATATCCTAACTTGGGGCACCCTTGGAGAGGCTTACCAGAAAACACCCTCGTTGTTGTTTTTATTTCTCAGTTTTCCAACAGATGGAGAAGCAGAGGTGTAGGGAATGGCCGGAACATGTGTGGGATCTGAATTTGCCCAAGGTCCTTATCTGGTGCATCAGAGAGTTAAAGGCCCAAGCCAATGTTCAGACAGTGAGGTCCAGAGGGAGGAAGCATCCTGGCCAACAGCAAGCAGCTGATGAACAGCAGAGCATTAGAGGACAGAGATGAGGAGGAAAGGAGAGAGGTGAGGGAAGGACCTGAAGCTGCTGCCAGGACTGAGAGAGGAAACCATAGGCAAGTCTTTTCTCTTGGGTCCCTGGAGCTGCCTCCTGCCATTTTTCATCCTCTATTGCCTGTGTGGACATGTGTTCACATTCACATGTGCCAGCACACATAGGGATGTAGAAAGCCCTGAAATAGCTAGATTGAGTCCTAGCTTGTAATCTGAGGTCTGGGGCAAGTGATCAGTACACTTGTCATCTGAGGTCCTTGAGCCTCAGTTTACTCATCTGTAAAATGGGGTTGCTTGATGCCTGCCTTGCCCACTTAGGTAGTAAAATGCACAAACCCAAATGGTCTACCTCCACAGCCTGCACTGATCCAGCCTCCCCCACCACCAGCAGAATAATCTGGGAGGTTGGGCACATGACCCTGCATCAAAGAATGCATGAGTGCCTCTCTGCACACAGCCCTGGGCAGTGCCCATTTCTCTTTCAGCTCAGTGAATGATGGAAACTCATGGAAGACAGCAGACAAAGCAGCCCCAGGGATAGGGGAGATTCCAGAGAGGCCCGTGACCAGGCCACAGGGATGCTGGGGCTGTAAACCAAAAGCCACTGGACTCTGTAAACCCACTGGGCACCACAGAGGCAGAAGGGGTGATGAGTGAGAGGCGAGTGGTAGTGGACTTGCCCACCAGTGCCAGCTCCAGCATGCCCCTCCAGAGGCGCAGGGCGTCCTTCAGGGGGCCACGGTCATCATCCTCCCTGGAGAGCCCCCCAGCCTCCAGGACCAATGCCATGAGTGGCCTTGTCCGAGCACCCGGGGTCTATGTAGGAACAGCACCCAGTGGGTGCATAGGTGGCTTGGGTGCCCGTGTGACCCGCCGGGCCCTCGGCATCAGCAGTGTCTTCCTTCAGGGCCTGCGGAGCTCAGGCCTGGCCACCGTGCCGGCTCCAGGTTTGGAGAGGGACCATGGTGCTGTTGAGGACCTAGGGGGCTGCCTGGTGGAATATATGGCCAAAGTGCACGCCCTTGAGCAAGTCAGTCAGGAGCTGGAAACACAACTGCGGATGCACCTGGAGAGCAAAGCCACACGCTCGGGAAACTGGGGTGCCCTACGGGCTTCCTGGGCCAGCAGCTGCCAGCAGGTAAGTGTCCAGGCTGTGCCAAGGGCTTTGCAGAGGGCTGGGAGGGGCTGCTGAAGGCAGCGGGTAGGGTTGTGAGTAGGCTGAGGCCAGAGAAACTGACCATAATCCCCTACACTTTCACACTTAAAATGGTAATGATAACAACAATGCTACCTTTTACCGAGGTTTACTAGGAGCCCACGCTAGCCCCCATACGTGCACTACCCACTGTCTTCTTTAAACTTCAAAGAAATGCTATGCAGTGGATCATTCACTGATTGCATTTTTCAGATGAGAAACTGAGGCATGTAATTTGCCCAAGACTTCAAAGCTAGTAGAGGGATGGAGATGAGATTTGAACCTGAATTTTTGTGCCTCCAAAGTTGCATTTGCCCCATTACCCTGGGGCTGCCTCAGTCACCTTTACTGTTGAGAAGGGATTTTTACAGCTATTATCCAATCAAATACCATTGGATGGATGAGGTGTTAAGAACAATGAATAAATGGAGGTGTGTTCCTGTATCCACCTACAACCACGCTGTTCAATAGAAATATGAACTACATTGGTAATTGACAAGTTTCTATTACCCACAGTAAAACACGTAAAAAGAAGCAGGTGAAGTTAATATTATAGCTTATTTAACTCTATATGTCCAGAATGTTATTTCAACATGTAATCAATACAAAATATATTAATGAGGTAATTTACATTCAAGTAGAGCTTTCTGCGTGATGGAAATATTAATATCTTATATCTGCACTGTCCAATCTGGCAGCCACTAGCCATATATGGCTATCAAGCACTTGAAATGTGGCTAATGAGACTGAGGAATTGCATTTTTATTTTATCTAATTTTCATTAATTTAAATGTAAACAGCCACAGGTAGCTAATGGCTATCTTATTGGACAGGGAAGGATGCAGAGGTTTCATCTTTCTCCCTTGCTTGGTCAGCCCTGCTTTTCCCACTCTCCAGGGTGATTTCTGCGGAGTCTGGAGCACATCCATCATGTCTGGCCTGCAGCCTGTAGTTCTAATGCTGGGACTCCAGCCAGCATTACACCTCTCAGCTGGTCTCTCTGTGGATAGCTGGCTTCACCTCTCCTCCTCCTCTTTCTCTCCAGATGCTGGCCTTGGGATCCCTCTGAGCAAAATCAGTCTCTAACCCACCAGGGACTGCCAACTCAGACCCTTGGCCCCCTGGAGTCCAGTATGCAGCCTCCCAAGAGGAGGTCACAAAATTTTATTTGTGTATAGCTGGGGGAAGCTAAGCAGTTGCACACAGGGACTCCCCATTTGCCCCTCCTGCCTCCCACTTCATCCCAGGATGCTTCTCCTGCACTGCTGTCAGTGCCCACTGACAGCACAGAGTGCATGATGAACAGCACCATCCTCTCAGGCTCTCCCCCTGGTGCTGCTGTTCTGCTTGCATCCATCTGGGCTGCAAGGGAGAGCCATCTTAGAACAGTCCAGGGCCTTAACGCCTGTCAAATCTAAGAGGCAGCCATTCCTCCAGGATTCTTCACAACTGTCCTTATTCCAAATATTGTGCCATAACAACCACCAGAACATCCCTAGATACTCCAATATGTCAGCATCTGCTGGACAATCGCTTGCAATCAGATGCCACACAGACTTGTCAGGAGAAATCAGGTATCCCAATGGCTAGGTTAAAAAGTAGGGCCACAAAACTTAGTTTATACTCAATAGATACTGACTTGTTCTGGCTCCAGATAGCTACAAGAGCCTTTGCAACTTACTAACTTCTCTGGGCCTCAGTTTCATTATCTACAAAATGGGTATAACAATGCTTACATATTCCAGCAAATCTGTAGACAAATAAGAGCCTGGCTCCTGCTTACAGGTAGAGTACAGACTAGGAAGCTCTAAAATCCTGTGAGAGCACCACAGCCACACACCAAGACATGCGACCTCTGTAGTTGAGGGTCAGGATCCCACATGGGCTCACTTTCCTCTTAAGTGACTATAAATG